>NC_000013.11:93525706-93828736 GCF_000001405.40 Homo sapiens
AATGGATTTTCAAACTAGAGCACAAGGCTAAGTTTCTCAGATGGTTAATTATTTATAGGTGCCAGAGCTATCTCCTTATAATAGTAGGCATTCAATATATGACTGAAAGAATGAGTAGAGAAATGTAAAGTGATTGTGAATAAATGAATTAATAAAGAACCAATGGTTTCAGCCCAGTGGCTCACAACCTACTCACACAAGACCCTTATGTATTTGCTATACACATCTTATGTTTAGAAGGAGAATGCACAACATTGTAGGATCCTAGAGTTTAAAAGTGCATTGTTTGTTTAACCTTGACAATTATTAGGTAGTTAACAAAGATGTATGATATCTTGCCATGAATTATATCTTTCTGTAAGATGAAGACACTTGTTCAGCATCCAGCACAACTTTTAAATATTCTGTCCCATACTCTGATAGCTAAAAATTCTGTTTGCGATGAAATGAGCCTAGAACCTAAGTCCACTTTTCTATCAAAATAAAATATGGAAATATGGGCTTTTCCATAAATCGCCATACATCAGGGTGCATTAGAATGAACACTATAATAGATGCACAGACCAAAGGTAATTCAGTTACGTGGGACATGTAAATGAATGTCAACTAAGGTGATCAGTGTAAGTTTCTTTGAGGAGAAATTATTTAAATTGGGAGGACTTTTCAGGGATTAAAGATGTAGACCCCGAATACTTATTATGCAAGGAATTGTGCAGGAGCCCTGAGAAGGCAAACTTAGTAATCCAGATCACAGAAGTAACAGACATATTATAAATTGGGTTAAATGCTATCAATATCTTCCTTGTGTACTATTAATTGCCTGCACATATCCTTATATATTTTCTCTTCCCCGAGTACAGTAACATTTAATATAGGAGGCTAAACCACAGAGTATGTAACTGGCAATTTCAAATAACGATTAGGAGATGCAATGACATAGGCTGAAGTTAACTTTTCTGAAGCAACATTTGCCCTTCAAAGATTGAATGTCATCCCACTCTAGCCCTTGCATTAAAAAGTCTCAGTTCAAGACCCTTTTCCATTAATGTCTTACTTTGAAAGAGCCAATCTGATAAATTAAGTATGTTCTTAGGTTAAATGATATTGATTTAATCAGATTGTTATTTTGCATATTTTGATTTAAATGCTAGGTAAAAGCAGGGATACATGTGGCTTCCAGCAGTATCATAGGATGTGTGTAACTGTTTATTCTGCCTGTTTTGTTGGCAGTCTAAGAACTTTATCCCAAATAAAGAGATTATAAACATGAAGGAAAAGCTGTGATTATTCTTAGTGTGCCCTAAGCATTGTGTTTTTATTCCTACTGAGATATTTTAAGTTTTTTTTTTAAAAAGCTTTCTGTAAAGGAATTATTTAGAGTTTTTTTATATTTTAAAACAATGTTATTTTGATATACATATACAGAATGAAATGATTACTGCAGTCAAGCAACTTATCGTTAGCAGTCAAACAAATTAACATATCCATCACCTACCATAGTTACCTTTTGTGTGTGTGTGGTAAGAGCACCTAACATCTATCTCAGCAAATTTCCTGTATACAGTATAATATTATTACCTATAGTCTCCATGTTCAAAAACATTACGTTCGATGTAAAGACATTTTTCACTCTTCCTCCTTATGCAGTGTATTCCTTAAAACTCAGTTTAGCGTTTCACTACTTTTTTAGAGATATGGGGTATGTGCTTTAATTTCATGAGTCTTTGTTTCTCCCTCTTCAGAGACTCTGAACTCCTTTTGGTTTAAAACCATGGCTGAGCTTTAATCACACAAATTATTTAATGATAATGCTTGACTGTACTGCTGTTACCTGAACACAGACATTTTAAAGCCCTAGGTTGGAAAGGATGCTAGAATTTATTATATCATTTGAAGTGGTATCATTTTAATATTTAGGTACCTATACACAAATTTTAGAAAGAGACCTCTTGCCCTTTATTAATTGAAAAAGTGATGCCAGGGGAAAAGGGCTGTCTCCTTTTTGTTGGCCTCGCATCCCCCATCTGTGAAATAGAGACTGAGTGATATTTACCTATGGGCATCCATCTTAAATGATTAGTGGGAATTAAGGTAATTATTATAAATTAATGGCTGTGTGAGTTATAAAAGGTTAGATATTATGGAGTTCCATTGTCATGGAGGGAGGCAATTAAAGAAATATACACTTATAGACTGTACCATAGATCTTGTGACATTTCTAGCCACTTTGCCTTTCATCGTTTTACTCTATGTGATATGATCAGTGTTGTAGTCATGCTTTTACAGATGCCTACTGAAATTGCACTATTTTATAGGGAAGAAAAATAATTTTTCATGAAGTCTTACAGGCAGTTCAATTTGATTATGTTCTTAATCACTCTCACCTAGACTTGGCCCTTTTACTGAATTGGTCTGAACTAGTTTACAGCTCTTGGGCTTTGAACAGTAAATCTTAAAATTCTAATGTCAGCTGTTATATAGTTTAGTAAGAATGCTGATCTGCTGCTATCAGGAGCAAAAACGAGCACTTTGAAAATTAGTTTATTGTATATCACCCCAGACTCACCAAATTCAATAGTAAAGTGGCTAACTTTGAGTAAGCAAAGAGGGCTGTGGGACTGCAACTGCAATAAACTTGAAATTGATTGTTTGTGGGTGAATTTATAGATGGTAGTTGGTTTGATTTATGCATTAAGAGTCAGAGAGAGTGAAAGATGGAAATCAGCATCTCTGGTCAGCTGAGTTGTAGAAGGTCACTGGGAGGTGGTGAATTACTGTTTGCCATGGTTTGGCAAGCAGTGTTGAAGCTGCTTAATGAGATCTAACCAAACTTGTCCATAAAGATGACACATGCAAAAAGGAAAAATATTATTCAGATAAGATACCATTCAGGCTCTAGGACTAAAAACATCTTTGGATATTTGAATATGAAGTTTTTGGCATCTTCTAAGGTAAATATGGCAAATGAGTTGTGAGCAGGTCTGAAATTTGCAACATATTTATAAATACTATTTACATTTCCCTGTCTTGAGTTAGCGATTAGCCTTTCTTTTGGATATGAAGACAATATATTTATGAAACACAAATGGAAAATGAGCCTGTATAAATATGTTTTAGAAACAGTGGTTGAGATGTAGATATACTTAAAAATACTTTCAAGGAGGACATCTTGATATCATTGAAAAAGAAAGCATGCATAAAATCAGCTAAACCTATCTAAATGAGCATAGGCTATTTATGGGTTCATAACTATGCATTAGTATGTGGACTGTCTATCACAGTCCACATACTGTGGAAAGTATCACAAAGTGATACTTTCTATCACTGCTTACACACAATATCAATTGTTGAATTTCAAATATTTTGCCCACAACCTACCATAAGACATATATATTGCATCCCAGTGCATATACAATATATACAAGAAATATTTTTACTTCTTATGATGAGCTCTGAAATACTCTGTTGTATTTTAAGCTTGAACGCTGATGCTAACTGATGTTAGGTCCTGCAGTTTGAAAGATGGTTGAGCTGGGGTGAAGTGAAACAGGTGAAACCTCCACTTCGATGTTCTTCCCTGGTATTGAACCTCAAAGAGATTGGTAATACTACTAACACTTGCTAAGAAATCAAGTAGGCAGAATTACAATTAAAAAGACCCTGAAATCAATGCTGTCCTTATAAAAGGCATCAAAGAATAGGTGGGTGGATGTCCAGGATTATGTGGTCTTATACAGCTTGTGCTTATCTGTAGAATGCACCTCAAAACATAGATGCTTCCTTCCATAGTGGACTCTGAGATTCTTTTTTTTTTTTTTTTTTTTTTTGAGATGGAGTCTCACTCTGTCACCCCGGCTGGAGTGTAGTGGCACCATCTCGGCTCACTGCAACCTCCACCTCCCTGGTTTCAAGCAATTCTCCTGCCTCAGCCTCCCCAGTAGCTGGGATTACAGGTGCCCGCCACCACGCCCATCTAATTTTTGTATTTTTAGTAGAGACAGGTTTTTACCACCTGGGCCAGGCTGGTCTCAAACTCCTGACCTCGTGATCCACCCACCTCAGCCTCCCAAAGTGCTGGGATTACAGGCATGAGCCACCGCGCCTGGCTGTCTCTGAGATTCTTAAGCACAAAGTCTCTGCTTATTCTTCTGCAGCACCAGGCATTATACCTAACCCATTGCTTGTGTGTTATTGAGTGGAAATTAAACAAATGAATGAATGAATAAATAAATAAATGAAGAAAGTGAGAAGAACATGAGAAGAATCAGATGCATTCCATTTAACTTTTATTGCAGAACCTCTGTGGTGACCTATGCTAAAGCAGTGAGCACTGCAAAAGTAAACAAGACACAGTTCGTAATTACTAGTTTGGGGTGTAATAGCAGTGGTATGAGCAGATGGCTAAGGAATATGGAACCTTAGGTCTTTCGTAACAGTAGCATAGAGTAACAGCTTCCTACTTGGCTTTGGCTCTGTGTTCTGAAATAGAAGCAACAGTCTGGGACTGAAAATTGCAAAACCTGGATCAGTTACCTTGGTTCACCTTGTCATGATGATAACCCTTCTTGTGACAGGTGGTGATTTTAAGCACACAGTAGAACCATAGTCCCCACTGTCCACCATTCTTAAAATAACTACCCTATTCTGCTCCTCCTCATTTCTCTCCAGGTAATTCATTACTGTACTTTGGCAGTCAGAAATGTGAGGAACTGATTTTCCTTTGAGGCAAATAGGTTTTTGACCTGCAGATCTATGTGGGTAGTGGAAATGCGGACTCTCTTGGTCTAGGGGCTTTTCTATTAGATTTGGGACTCAATTAAGTGAAAGAAGGAGCCAATCAACAATATATAGTACTCTTAGCTCCGAGGAGTGGCATGCTAGAACCGGCGCATATTGGTTTGTGAGAACCGATTGTTAAAATTTCAGGAATTTTTGAATCTCTTCCTAAGAACAGCAATTATTAAAAATAAAATGCATAAATTTACAATTAAATTATGTTAAAATAAAAATGGTGGACCCCAAAATACTGTCAGTTTCTAATTATTTTATTAATAGTTATACTCTTGATATCTGTCATACCTGCCTGGAGGAAATACTACATAGAAGACACTATGCAAATCTCTCCCCACTTCAACATTCATGACACAATTTTGGCAGCTAGAAATCAGCTGTGTTGGGAGTATTTATGTCATGGAAATTGGTATAATTTGGGAATTATATTGGAGAATACATCCATTTTAAATTAAGAATTTCCCTCAGAACTGGAAAGTTGGTTAACACAATACTGACTCCGTTTATAATATCTCAGATACTGACACTGACGGATACTGAAAAGGGAATAAAAATAATATGCAAAGGTCCTAAACGTTGGGTTAAATGGATAATCATAGGCAGTCATGATGAGTGCCATTGTAGACCTACTGGAAGATGACAGAGCTAGTGCAGAGGTTCCCAAGTATTCTGTTCATGGAGTCCCAAGTGTCTGTATCAGCCAAGGTTCTCCAGAAAAACAGGACCAATTATATGTAAGAACATATATATTTTACATATATATTTACATTTATATATTATAATGATATATAATATATATGATAGAGGGAGAAAAGGCTTTATTTTAAGGAATTGGCTCATGTGGTGTAAGACTGTGAGACTGGCAAGTCTGAAATCTGCAGGGCAGACTGGCAGACTCAAACCTTATGCAAGAGTTGATGCTGCAGTGTTGAAGAAGAGTTTCTTCTCCAGGATGCCTCAGTTTTTGCGTATAAAACCTTTCAACTGATTAGGTTAGGCCTGCCCACATTATTGAGGGTGATCTCCTTTACTTAAAATCATCAGATTGTGGATGTTAACCACATCTACAAACTACCTCTACAGCAACACCTACATTAGTGTTTGATTACATTACTGGGTGCTATGGCCTAGCCGTGCTGGCTCAAATCTATTACAGTGTCCTACTAATTTTTCTGTGGCATCCTAAACCAGAAGAAATACTAAACATTTTATTTATTAAGTCCAAACAATTCACTATTTGTATCCTAAAATCTTAGTGACCATTTGAAAACATAATACATATACGTTGTAAAAATTTATTTCATACATAGTCACAATTATTTACTAATGGATAGCACACAACTTCTCAAGCCCTAGAATAAAGTTGGATACCACCACCCTCATTTCCTGCTCCACATGATTTTCACCTGCTGCTAGGGAAATGGAAAGTAAGGAAAAATGCTGCTTTGCAATGATATGATGCTATTAAAAGGACGGTAGTACTATTTAATGTTGAAACTGTGAACTACCTCCAAGTAGTTTCTGCACTTTTCTACAGATGTCAAATTTCCCTTGAAAATTTTAAATCTCATGGTGCTTCCAAAAGCTTCCTGTTTTGCCCAAGTGAGCCCTGTCACAGTGAATACGAGGATATTTTGTACTTTGCATAATAGAATCAAAATGCTCCCATGTTTTGTCGTCAGCTCTGTAATGCATAACCACAGTTTTCCTGGACTGTTTGCATGTAGTAAGAAAAGTTGCAGCATTCAGATTTTCTCTCAAGATCTTTCTATTCATTATCTTTTAAAAATTGGTGCTGAGAAATACAATGAATCTCTCTGTGTGTGTGTAATGTGAGTGTGTGTGTATATGTGTGTAGTTGTGCATACAAATTCCTGATTATCTTTTGTGTTGAGACAGCGCTTTAAAATGTCTAAAAATTTTATCGGTATAAATTGAATAAATTGTATATATAGTTAAAACAGGCAGAAACTTCCTTTATTTACAAATAACCAAGTAATTTACAAGTTTAATGATTTTATAACATACCAAGGCCAAGGTTAGATGTGAGAAAAAGAAAAGATAGCTTTTCTCACTCCAGATGCTTTCTGCTTTCTAAGACTGCTTTGCCTTCCCACACTGCCCACTCCTCACCTCCCATATGCTTTATCCCTTGATTATTCTGATCACACCTTCTTCTATGCTCATCCTCACCCCTAAACAGTTCAGCTTCTCTGAAACAGGAAAGTCAACCAAATGGTAAGGGCCAGAAACACTGGCAGAAGAACTAAGAAGTTTCTTCTGTGTCATCTAGAGTAGCATGTTTAAATTCTCTCTGCATAACCATTGGACCTGATTTAAACAATTAGCTAATTGGTCCCATTTAAAGGAGCTATTTTTTGCAGAGTGAAAATTTTAGAACTACAAGAATTAGCATTTAAAGTTTTTATCAGGAAATTGACATCAGCAAAGGATGACAATAATACTGGTAGTTTGAATGATAAGGTCCCCTAAAGTAGAATGTTAATTGAATTTCCTAAAACCTGTGTGAAAGTTGGAAGATTTCTGATTATTGTGTTGAGCAACTTCACTAAACAAGAGCAGCCCTGAGAGATATGAAAGGATCATTTATAATACCTCTTTACACTGAAAAATGTTGAAAAGTGCTTATTTGGAGGTTTAGGGTATTTGAACTTAAGGAAATGAACTGGAACATACATTTTAAAAATGTGGCTTCCCTACATTCTGCCATTCCCAATTAGGTTGTATAGGAAATGTATGAGACTAAGAACAGTCCAGGTCTATTAACTCCAGTTTAAATTATCTTAGCTATCAGAAACTCTAGCTAAATTCTAAAGTATTCTAAAGTATTTCACTTCCCTCCACCTGTTTCCTTAGGTGTGGTTAAATTCCTTAACATCCTTGGCACCAGATGAACAAACTGTATGTTTATTTGAGGAGACATGTCGAATGATGAGAACACTGTTGCTTGGTACCAGATGTGCTTGTTGACTATGGGAATTTCAATAATTCTAGGATGAGAGAACTCTGACATAGACTGTATACTCTGAAGAGGGCCAACTCTGAAATAAATATTGCCCTCTGATCAATTGGAATTTGGTGTTTCAGAAACTGAAGCTCTCTGTTTTGTGAGATCTTGCCATCTTCTTTTTTGGTGTGAACTGGTTTTTATTGGGGTGTAGGACACGGGGTAGGAAATGTCACCTTGGCGTATGGCATGCCTTACACATTCTAATCTTCCTGGGGTAGTTGATGGAACTATTTCTTCTTCTTGAAGTTGCTCTTGCTGTCAGCCACCTCTTTAGGTCCACTGCTGACCATCCTGCTTGAGAGAGAAATCTTCCAAGGATTCGTCCAAGAACTTACTTTTTCTTGGAGACATCCTGTTGCTTGCCCCTTCAGGATCACTAACTGTTTCCTCCTTGGGGGATGATTTCACCCTATTGGGAAGCAATGTTCAAACAGAGGAAGTGGCTGCTGAGATCAGTAGGAAGCTGGAGAAACAGGAGAAGAAGCCTTAATGAAGGGAAAGAAATGACTGGCTCTGCTTGGCCTCGCATCTGCAGAAAACAGCAGTAGTATTCTGAAGGAGTATGAGGAGATGGGTGAAAAACCCAAAATAAGTAAAAGCAGAAGCTCTAGGAGGCTCCTCAGGAGAATGGAATGGAAGGCCCATCTCTCTCTTTCTCCAAACTCAAGAAAAAGAAATATTTTTCCAAGGAGGAGTTTGTTAGTAGCAATCTTGCCATCACCTTTCAGCTTTGTAGATTTTTACTTTCTATCTACTTCCTAGGAAGGACAAAAATAGTAACTTCCCTCTGCGCTCCAGAGCTCTATAAAAGCCAAAAGTTAGTTGGCTGAAGTCTGTGAAATGTGACTCACTCTGGGCACTTCATTTCTGTTGTTTGTCTGTTTGTTTGGGATGTGCATCGCAAGGTCCCTGAGTGTCACTTCTGAGGGCGGAGAGCTTGCTGTAGCAGACCTGCAGAGGCTTGCTTGTGGGGTTAACGAGGCCCTCCTGTCTCCTCCTCTTTCCCACCACGCCACTCACCAGGTCTATTCCTGGCCATTTTCAGGCTCAAGGTCATCCCTGGAGGGAGTGGGATCTGGCAGAATCACATTTCTGCTGTCACCTCAGCATCTTGTAGTGAAAATGAACATCTGGGCAAGCATTTGGGAAAATATCTTGTGAAGAGCAACACGTAAGTTGAAAGAGGCATGCAGAGTGAGGAGCAGCCTCATCTCTTCTTTGGAAAACAGATGACAATTTATGGTCTGATCATATGTCCTTGAGCTCATTCTGCAACTTCCTGGTAGAACTCCCTTCTTTCACATTTACAGTTTCTCTTTTTTATTTTAGAGCTTGTGAAGAGCTCTGTAAAAAGGTGGGGACCCAAGGAACTCACTGGCATTCACTTCAAGTGCCCTAAGAAAGCATCAACCTGTGTAATCGTGGTTATGTGGCCCTGTGTCTGCTTTTGTATGACATGAACCTACCATAATGATTTGCCCATAGAAACTTTCCAATAAAGATTTGATGAATAAGGGTATAGCTATTGTAGTTTCAGCTTTTCATGTTCTGCATTTTTGGTCTCTTATCCTGATTTTATTATTAGTGGTCCTGGGAGTGTCTGGCTCCTTTTCAGTTGAGCTAAGTGTTGTGTCTAATTATATATTAGACATATTATGAAGAACCTTTGGCAATTTGAGAAAGGAATATGAGTGGGAAACTCTTAAAAGGATTGCACTTTCTCCTTCTTCAAAAGTTATAACTTTGGAATAATTTCATTGTTATATCAAATACTTGTAGGTGTCAGAAGGTAGTTCTGCTGAGAATAGGAATTCTTGCTGTTTGGAGAAATTGAAACAGAAAGGGATGGAGTTGGATTCTTCATACAGCAAAGTAGCTGCCATGATTTCACCAAGTAAATATTTGAGGCACTGCTGGTCACATGGTCTCTGCCATAACTGCTCTGCTGTTGTAATGCCAAAGTAGTCATAGACAATCCATGAATGAATAAGTGTGGCTGTGTCATTATCAAACTTTACACCTAAATTTGAATTGCATTAAACTCTCACATGGTCAAAAGAGTCTTACGATATGTTTTCCCCAACCATGGCTCACAGCTCCCAGAAAAATAGGTGATGGACTGTGTATCAGCCACCATTTGCAGATACTTTTTTAGGAAAAAAAAAAAAAAAAACCAAGCAGAACTGATTTTCCTTAGCTTCTCTGATCATTCATAATTGTCAGAATTTTAAGGAATATCGGCAGGCTCAGATCAGTGGAAGAGAAGAGCTACACTTCAATGTTTCAGTTATCCCACAGCCTTCTTCCTATCTAGTAACATGTTACAAAGAAAGCAAGACTCAGACTGAATTCAGCCACACATTCAGACATTTACTGGCTAGTAGACCTCAGTGATGAGCCTGTATGTTTGGGAATGTCACAGTACTCTCTCCCTCATGCTCTAACAAGCACTTTGCATGAAAGATTTACTCCAAGGCTGACACAGTGATCTTCCAACATCGGGATGCTTCAAAGTTCCAGCGATGTCTGTGAGCAGAGTTTCCCCTGGGTGGTGTGGGAACACGGGACTAGCATCCCAGATCAAGGAATTAGGTTGCCAGGCCTCTGTGATTCTCAAGTCTCATTCATGCAGTGGGAGGAGAGACTATAAAACCTTTTGGGCCAAATTCACTTTTTCAATTTTTTACTTTTTAAAAATTGGTAAAATATATATAATATAAAATTTACCATTTTAACCATTTTACAGAGTATGTTTAATGGCATCAAGTGCATTCGTATTGTGTAATCTTCACCATTATCCATCTCTAGAACTTTTTCATCTTCCCAGCCTGAAATTCTATAATCGTTTAACAGTAACTCTCCATTTTCTCCTGCCCCCCAGCCCCAGGTAACCACCATTCTACTTTCTGTCTGCATGATTTCGACTACTTCGGGCACCTCATATAAGTGGAATCATGTTGTCTTTGTCCTCTTGTGATTGGCTTATTTTGCTTAACATAATGTCCATGTTGTAGTATGTGTTAGCACTGCATTGCTTTTTATGGGGAAATAATAGTCCATTGTATGTGTATACTAGAAGTTGTTTATTCACCTGTGGATGGGCATTTTGGTTGTTTCAACCTTTTGGTTATTGTGAATAATGCTGCCAACCCCATAGCTTGAACAACACCAATTTCACCTATGAACATTTATTTTTAACATCTCTTCTGCCCATTAGTAAATCCTCATATTGATTTAGTTAATACTTTTTGAAAGCTTGCCATAGCCACCCCAAGTGTATAGATTCCTGTTTGAAGTACTGTAAATGGTAACTGTTCCTAAAGGTATAGATTAAAGTTTATATACACACATGCATACCAGTGTTTATACGGAAGCCTTTTAAAGTAAATAACTCAAGGCAGTATTACACAGGCAACAACATTTTCATTTTGTCAATTTGTTTGTTATTCCCTAAACAATTTGAAAATATTCCACGAGAGTTAACTGTTAAGCTGCTGGTCTCTTCTGAATGAGGGATAATAATGAGTGGTGCCTGCTTAGACTTTGTGATGTGAAAGTTTCCTGAAGACACCTCCATCACCCGCGCCCCAAATATCTATGTCTCTTTTCCTCCCAGAAAAATTTTCGTAAGTTTGCTGTTGTCATAACTTAGCAACATTAGATGATCAGACATAGCTTAGGGACATTAGCAACTGTTAATTACTTGATCTTGCTAAACCTTTGCTCTTCTTGCCATGATATGAGGAGGTTGTACCACCTTCCAATAGATGGATAGTTCTTGTTAATTTAACTTTTATGTCTGGAAAAATTTTGAAAATGGTGAAAACTATCTTGCATCTACTATACTTAGTTTGTATTTATTCACTTAAATTTAGAAAGAATTAATAGAAAATAAATGTGCAATGAATTATTCTTTGTGGACATCAATCAGTTATCAATTCCAATAATAATTAGATAATAATAGATTGATTATTTTGAAGAAACCTATTTCCTCTTATCTAGTCATTTTGTGTGTTTACACGTGGAGCTTTTGTATTTTTACGTATTAGAAATTATAATAGTAAAGAAAAACTTTTGATATCCTCATAGCAACATTTTAAAATCATTACTTAGATATATTTCATATTATAGTTTATAAAATTAAAATATCTACTTTAATGAAAATTTGCTAAGCTCTGAGCTAAACCTTTTCCCTATTCTATCTCCTAGCCTGTTACCATCATTTCCATTCTTACAGATGAGGAATTGAGTTGTTAAGCATTTCCTTCTCACTTCACATAGTTAGTAAGTGGTAAGGTCAAATTACAATGTCACCTTTTAATACCCATATTAATGTAATTGTTACTTAGATATCACACTAGAAATATGAAATTAAAATAAAGAACTGAAAATATCAGGAAGACTTGTTATTTTAAAAATCTCAAAAAATATAATACAAAAAATTTTCAAAAATGAACAGCACTTTCATACTGAGTGAAGGAAGAGCAAATCATGGTATCTTGCAGGATGAAAGGTTGTCTGTATTTTTGGACATGAAATCATTGCAGTTTAAGGAACACCCAGCCCATGTGGAAACATAAGCTGGAACTACAAGCCCTTTCTGGGTTTATGTGGAAAAAAAAAATGTAGTGGCCATGTTTCTGGTTCATTGTTAAGCTGTCAGGGTAACCTTGATGTCTAGATACTTAACTTTTTCTTCTAAGTAGTAGTAGATAAAAATTTCCCAGAGATTTTTCTCCATGTGTGTAGAAGTTTAGAGTCATGGAGGTATATGTAAGAAGCTGCCTTACTAATTCAGTGCACTATTAGATTGTTCATAGAACTGGAAATGTTCTTAAGAGGTCAGCTCATTTCTTTATGTTTATATGTATTCCTGGGAGTAAGAAACCTAGAGAGATGAGGAGATGGAGAATAGAGAGATAAGTATGGAGAGAGAAAGTGAAGAGACAGCAAGATAATTTAAATCACTGACAATTGTGCTCACATGCCCCAGGCCATGAATAAAACTGGGCCAGGATCAGCGTTTTGCTGCCTTAACTTTCTTAAGGTGATTGAAACTGAAAATAGTATTCAAATAGTCACGCAAAGAAGTGGGAGGGCTTCCGCCATATTCCTAAGAAAGAAATGATGAAATTAACTGAGAGCCACAGAAAAACATCAAGCAAAGTAGAGTTAAAGGAACTGACTGAGAAAGTCACCTACTCTCTGGGTGATATTCACAAAACCCTGTATTGGGTACTCTACTGATGAATTTAGTATGTTTCCTTCAGGAAAGATTTTCTCTTTATGCACTGCCCTTAACATCTATTTCACCATAAACCATAACTCCACTGAATGTTCTATTTTTTTAAATACTCATGGGTATGTAAAAAGAGAACATGATCATTTATTACAATATTCTTTTTTTTTTTTTATTATACTTTAAGTTTTAGGGTACATGTGCACATTGTTCAGGTTAGTTACATATGTATACATGTGCCATGCTGGTGCGCTGCACCCACCAACGTGTCATCCAGCATTAGGTATATCTCCCAATATTCTTTTGTTATTAAGAAAAATAACAAATGACAATATAAAAGTCATTAAAACACTTAGAGATTTTGATTGTGGATATTTGATTTTTGTCCTTATAATTTGGGCTTGATATCTTATTAAAAAGAAAATTAGTGATTGATGGACCATTTGCTTTTGATAGTCAACTTATTCTATCCTAGGGTCTTTAGCTCTAGAACCATGCTTCTCAGTGGGATGTGGGTATCATAATCACTTTGGGAAGAATTTCACAACTCGCAGTGTTCCATTTTGGTGTTGTCGAAATCATCACGTGAAAGATGATCGGGAATACCCTTGTAGTTGAACAGGTTTAGTTATAATTTATTGCAAGACCAAGCATATATCATGGAGAACCATGTCTCAGTAAGAGGATCTCGGAAAGAATTTATTATAGGATATGGGTTTTGGTTGTGTGTTTTAGGGGAGGGTCCATAGAGTCGGGCTCACGCGGAATTGGATGCTGTCAGAAAGCAGAGTTAATTCTATAATAAGGTAATTCTCTAATAAGGCATTTCAATAAGTCTTGCTGACAAAATGGAAGACTAGCACAAGGATAAATCTGTGATTAGTAAAGAAGTCCATCATATTAGCCAAGAGAGGAAGTGCTTGGTACTTTTTTTTTTTTTTGAGACAGGGTTTTGCTCTTGTTGTCCAGGCTAGAGTGCAATGACGTGACCTCAGCTCACTGCAGCCTCAGCCTCCCAGGTTGAAGCAATTCTCCTGCCTCAGCCTCCCAAGTAGCTGGGATTACAAGCATGCGCCACCACTCCCGGCTAATTTTGTATTTTTAGTGGAGACAGAGTTTCTCCATGTTGGTCAGGCTGGTCTCAAACTAACGACCTCAGGTGATGTGCCTGCCTTGGCCTTCCAAAGTGCTGGGATTACAGGCATGAGGCACCGTGCCCAGCCGCTTGGTACTTTTTGAATGGCACAGTAACCTTGTTTTCTGTGCTTAGACGAAACTATGAAGTGGCCTTACTTGGTCGATTTTTTTTGTGGTCTCAGAGTAGTCTTGTCTGAGGTTGGTATTCTGTGAGAATGTTTACGTGTAACAGCAGAATGAATGCCAGGCTGGCTTCTAAAGGTCAAGGGCTGCTTGTTTTTTCATTCTTCACAGCTACCCTCTGACCTCCTCTCTAGCAAAACTGTAGTGACTACTAAGCTTTAATAACATATTTCCCAGTTTTTGTTACAAAATATTTTTATCATACAGAAAAAGTAAAGATAATGTATTAAGTACCATATATCCATCAAGCAGCTTAAGAAATAAATGATTATAGATAAAAGTATTGGAGTATTTCTCTGAAATCCTAATCCTTCCTAGGAGCGAATTATTAACTTGAATTTGATGTTTATCATTTTCAAGAATAATGCATTTCCTCTTCTTTTAAAAATACATATATATTTATTTTTTGTCTCCTTTTCTAGAAATTTAATAAGATATAGCTTTATTTTTATTTTGTTTTAATTGGCATAAAATAATTATACAATTATACATATTTATGGAAGGTACATAGTGATCTTTGATACATAAAATGTTTAGTGATCAGATAGGGGGATTAGCATGTCTATCATCTTAAACATTTATCATTTCTTTGTGCTGGGAACATTCAATATCCTCTTTCTAGCATTTTGAAACTATGTAATATATTATCGTTAACTATAGTCATCCTACAGTGGTGTAGAACACTAGAACTTATTCCTCCTATTAGCTATAATTTTGTATCCTTTAACAAATCTCCTTATCAAAGACCTCTTACTTTCCTCTACCCTTCCCAGCCTCTAGTATCCTCTGTTCTGCTTTCAACTTCCAAGAGATCCTTTTTTTAGCTTCCACATATGAATGAGAACATGCAATGTTTATCTTTCTCTTCTTCGCTATTTCGCTTAACATAATGTCTTCCAGTTTCATCCATGTTGCAGTGAATGATGGGATATCATCCTTTTTTTTTTATTATTATACTTTAAGTTTTAGGGAACATGTGCACAATGTGCAGGTTAGTTACATATGTATACATGTGCCATGCTGGTGTGCTGCACCCACTAACTCGTCATTTAGCATTAGGTATATCTCCTAAAGCTATCCCTCCCCCCTCCCCCCACCCCACAACAGTCCCCAGAGTGTGATGTTCCCCTTCCTGTGTCCATGTGTTCTCATTGTTCAATTCCCACCTATGAGTGAGAATATGCGGCATTTGGTTTTTTTGTTCTTGTGATAGTTTACTGAGAATGATGATTTCCAATTTCATCCATGTCCCTACAAAGGACATGAACTCATCATTTTTTATGGCTGCATAGTATTCCATGGTGTATATGTGCCACATTTTCTTAATCCAGTCTATCATTGTTGGACATTTGGGTTGGTTCCAAGTCTTTGCTATTGTGAATAGTGCCGCAATAAACATACGTGTGCATGTGTCTTTATAGCAGTATGATTTATAGTCCTTTGGGTATATACCCAGTAATGGGATGGCTGGGTCAAATGGTATTTCTAGTTCTAGATCCCTGAGGAATCGCCACACTGACTTCCACAATGGTTGAACTAGTTTACAGTCCCACCAACAGTGTAAAAGTGTTCCTATTTCTCCACATCCTCTCCAGCACCTGTTGTTTCCTGACTTTTTAATGATTGCCATTCTAACTGCTGTGAGATGGTATCTCATTGTGGTTTTGATTTGCATTTCTCTGACGGCCAGTGATGGTGAGCATTTTTTCATGTGTTTTTTGGCTGCATAAATGTCTTCTTTTGAGAAGTGTCTGTTCATGTCCTTTGCCCACTTTTTGATGGGGTTGTTTTTTTCTTGTAAATTTGTTTGAGTTCATTGTAGATTCTGGATATTAGCCCTTTGTCAGATGAGTAGGTTGCGAAAATTTTTTCCCATCTTGTAGGTTGCCTGTTCACTCTGCTGATAGCTTCTTTTGCTGTGCAGAAGCTCTTTAGTTTAATTAGATCCCATTTGTCAATTTTGGCTTTTGTTGCCATTGCTTTTGGTGTTTTAGACATGAAGTCCTTGCCCATGCCTATGTCCTGAATGCTAATGCCTAGGTTTTATTCTAGGGTTTTTATGGTTTTAGGTCTAACGTTTAAGTCTTTAATCCATCTTGAATTAATTTTTGTGTAAGGTGTAAGGAAGGGATCCAGTTTCAGCTTTCTACATATGGCTAGCCAGTTTTCCCAGCACCATTTACTAAATAGGGAATCCTTTCCCCATTGCTTGTTTTTCTCAGGTTTGTCAAAGATCAGATAGTTGTAGATATGCGGCATTATTTCTGAGGGCTCTGTTCTGTACCATTGATCTATATCTCTGTTTTGGTACCAGTACCATGCTGTTTTGGTTACTGTAGCCTTGTAGTATAGTTTGAAGTCAGGTAGCGTGATGCCTCCAGCTTTGTTCTTTTGGCTTATGATTGACTTGGTGATGCGGGCTCCTTTTTGGTTCCATATGAACTTTAAAGTAGTTTTTTCCAATTCTGTGAAGAAAGTCATTGGTAGCTTGATGGGGATGGCATTGAATCTATAAATTATCTTGGGCAGTATGGCCATTTTCGTGATATTGATTCTTCCTACCCATGAGCATGGAATGTTCTTCCATTTGTTTGTATTCTCTTTTATTTTATTGAGCAGTGATTTGTAGTTCTCCTTGAAGAGGTCCATCACGTCCCTTGTAAGTTGGATTCCTAGGTATTTTATTCTCTTTGAAGCAATTGTGAATGGGAGTTCACTCATGATTTGGCTCTCTGTTTGTCTGTTATTGGTGTATAAGAATGCTTGTGATTTTTGTAGATTGATTTTGTATCCTGAGACTTTGCTGAAGTTGCTTATCAGCTTAAGGAGATTTTGGGCTGAGACGATGGGGTTTTCTAGATATACAGTCATGTCTTCTGCAAACAGGGACAATTTGACTTCCTCTTTTCCTAATTGAATACATTTTATTTCCTTCTGCTGCCTGATCACCGTGGCCAGAACTTCCGACACTATGTTGAATAGGAGTGTGAGAGAGGGCATCCCTGTCTTGTGCCAGTTTTCAAAGGGAATGCTTCCAGTTTTAGCCCATTCCATATGATATTGGCTGTGGGTTTGTCATAGATAGCTCTTATTATTTTGAGATACGTCCCATCAATACCTAATTTATTGAGAGTTTTTAGCATGAAGCATCGTTGAATTTTGTCAAAGGCCTTTTCTGCCTCTATTGAGATAATCATGTGGTTTTTGTCTTTGGTTCTGTTTATATGCTGGATTACATTTATTGATTTGCGTATATTGAACCAGCCTTGCATCCCAGGAATGAAGCCCACTTGATCATGGTGGATAAGCTTTTTGATGTGCTGCTGGATTCGGTTTGCCAGTATTTTATTGAGGATTTTTGCATCAATGTTCATCAAGGATATTGGTCTAAAATTCTCTTTTTTGGTTGTGTGTCTGCCCGGCTTTGGTATCAGGATGATGCTGGCCTCATAAAATGAGTTAGGGAGGATTCCCTCTTTTTCTATTGATTGGAATAGTTTCAGAAGGAATGGTACCAGTTCCTCCTTGTACCTCTGGTAGAATTCGGCTGTGAATCCATCGGGATATCATCCTTTTTAAGGCTGAGTACTATTCCATTGTGTACTTATGCCACATTTTCTTTAACTGTTTGTTTGTTTTTGGGCACCTAGACTGATTCCATATCTTGGCTATTGTGCGTAGTGTTCCAGTAAACATGGGATGCAAACGTCTCTTTGATGTATTGATTTCCTTCTCTTCAGATAAATGTCCAGGAGTGGGTTGCTGGATGCTATTTGTAGTCTTTTGAGGAACCTCCATACTGTTCTCCATAGACACTATCATAGTTTACGTTCCCACTGACAGTATATGAGTTTCCTTTTCCCTGAATCCTCCCCAGCATTTGTTATTTTTTATCTTTCTGATAACAACCATCCTAACTGGGGTGAGATGATACATCACAGTGATTTTGATTTGCATTTCCCGGATGATTAGTCACGGTGAGCCTTTTTTTTTTGTTGTAATTGTTGGACATTTGAGTGTCTTTTAATTAGGAACTCAAACACCTCAACAGTAAAAAAAGAAAAAAAAATGACTTCAAAACAGCAAAAGACCTAACGTTAATATGTACTTGTAAACTTTTTTTTATTCTGCTGTTGTTTTAAGTAGGAGCTTAAGCATTAAACTACACGAAGAATCATGAGACAACCTATACTTCACACAAGGTCATAGGACATACCTTTATAAGTACTATTAAACATTATAAATGAATTTTAATCACAGAGTCAAGCACTTTGTTCATTTGTTTTCAGTGTCCTATGGTGACTTTAATAGCAGGAGCAATTTGTTGGTTTTATTTAGCAAGACATTGGGTGGATTTCCATTCTTCCCTCCACAGGCTGTGAGAAAGATTTTTGACACTAACTGAGCTGCTTCAATTGGAAATTCACATTTTATGCAATAACAGGCCATTTTAATTTCATGAAGCAAAGGATTGGCTTCTACTTGCAAATAGCACTAAAGAAAGCAGTGTTGTCGAAAGCAGTAGATAGATCTGTTGAATTAAATACAAGGCTTTCATTCCTTTCATTCTACATTTCCTTATAACGTAAGCATTAATTAAACCCATCAGTGACTTCCTTCTTTCTGGAGAATGTTTTCTGTCTGACAAGAAATGTCAACTTAGCGAATGAGACCTACCATTAAAAACACACTCACTTGGACTTAGAGAAAAGCTGATGCATACCCAGGGACAGACTTGCAGAAAGAGAACCCAAGGGACAGTTATCATCTTTTCTTGCTTTTGGTGATGGGACTAAGTGTCTTTTGCCTTACTTGAGGTTTCCCGAGAAAAGCATACATAGCTGTATTACATCTTGTGTTGTTGTATCACCTGATGTTTACTTGATGTATTAAAAATAAAAGCCAGGAAAAAATGCCACAGTATTTTGAAGTTTTAATGCACCTTCACTTATATGATGAGGAACAGAGACTAAATATCGGGTTCAACTTAAGTCAACATGTTTGGAATGTTAGATACACTGATGTGCTGTGGCCCAGATAGAGTTCATGGGGATGGCTGGAGAAGTAGATGGAACAAGCACCCTGAGATTTGAGCAAAGTGTTAGAGAAGTGAAATCTCTAACGTCTACCAAAAGTCCTTAGAATGCAATAGTGACATTTAACTTCTCATTGCAGGGGAACACTTAAGAATCTGTCCTCAGGAATATACATGCTGCACCACAGAAATGGAAGACAAGTTAAGCCAACAAAGCAAACTCGAATTTGAAAACCTTGTGGAAGAGACAAGCCATTTTGTGCGCACCACTTTTGTGTCCAGGCATAAGAAATTTGACGGTAGGTGAAATGGTTTTCACTTCAGTTTGTTATAGGTGCACTTTTCTATGAGAATCTTGGTATCATATGAAAAATATTTTTTTAAAAAGGGAGCTTTTCTATCCCTCTTAAATATTTATAGCATTGTCTATTTTTAGAAAAAGCATGAGTTTTCTTGACAGTAATTTTTTTTTTTTTAGTAATATCTTGGTAAAACCTGGTTTAACAAAGAGCTGTTTTGCATTTGTGCTTTGCCTGTGAGATTTATTGTAAAGATTTAGCTCAAGTTTTCATTATTAGAGGAATTATAATTCAGGTTTTGTTATACTGCAGCTTGTCTAGTTTTCATATGGGGATTCTCCTTAAAAAATAAGCGTAATTTAAGATTATTTGAAATATAACATCACATTTGAAGAGGAAAGGCTTGTTTTAAATGTCAGCAACACAGATTCCTTTATTTTAGACTTTGCCATTGCAATCATATAGCACATTTTACATTGCAGTTATGCATTCTGTATAAGGTTTAGACCCTCTTTTGATATCCTGATTATAAGCAGTCAATGTTATTTCTATATTCTATTTGTTAAATAAACATTTTTATATTACAAATTACGACTGAAATTTCAGCATTGAATTTTCGCATTAGAGCCTGAATAGTTTGAAAATATTCAAAAGTAGTTTGATTCTTTGTAAGCAGTATCAACAATGATAACAATAAATTTAGTATTTTTAGAAGGTGTGTTGTCTTTAGTGCTCTAAGAAATGAATGTACCTTACCATGATTTCTTGTAAACCAGACTTGCACCTTGTGGTGAACCTTCTTTTGGCTCCGTTGGTCCTACAACATTACCCTAGAGCAAAAGAGCTGCTATTAATTTTCTTCTCTCAGTTCAGTCAATGCACAGCAGAGCCAGTTTAGGAAAGGTTGGCCAAAGTTTTTATGTTTCTTTTTTATTTTCTGTGTAGTAGGTAAAATGTTCCATTTTATTGCTGTTTTAAACTATTACAGCAACACTGATCTTTTTCAAATTGGTTCTCAAAGTTACGGAAGACAGGTCTACCTGGTATTTTCAGTACAAATGATGTGACACTTTCTGTGTAAGTGACCGGAGTTTGATCTTTCTGCAAGTGTGTTTCAACATCCTCACATTCTGTCTTTGGCTCTCCCTTGTGTATAACTATATGTGGATGTATATGAAAATAATTTTTATTTAGCGGTGATGCTGTGAATGTTGTTCCCTTAAATGCAGCTAGGGAGTACTTAGGGGTTACTCTTGATTATAGGTTACAAATCCAGTGACATTCAGAAGCCCCTGATAGGACTCTGTGTTTGGAGGACTACACTCTATCACTTCAAGCTACAGCAATTTGAGCTGTTTTGTCATTTGTTACATAAAGCAGGTGATAATGATCTGTTGCCAGTGATTTTGACTTGTGTCTCTGGGAAAACAAACAAACAAAGAAAGAAACAAGAAAGAAGCTCTACTGTGTTTATAAAGCTGTACTCCAAAGTGATTTTAAAATAATTCCAGGACAGTATTCATGGTAGATGATATATATTCTTTAACAAAAAAATATTAAATATTAGGTAGCTTTATGGAGAGTTGACATTTTTAAAACAAGTAAAGCAATTCACCAAGACTGAGCCGGCCAGGCATGGTGGCTCATGCCTGTAATCCCAGCACTTTGGGAGGCTGAGGCGGGTGGATCATGAGGTCAAGAGATTGAGGCCATCCTGGCCAACGTGGTGAAACCCCATCTCTACTAAAAATACAAAAAAAAAAAAAAAAAAAAAATTAGCTGGGCGTGGTGCCAGGCGCCTGTAGTCCCAGCTACTGGGGAGGCCAAGGCAGGAGACTCACTTGAACCTGGGAGGTGGAGGTTGCAGTGAGCCGAGATCGTGCCAGTACACTCCAGCCTGGGCAACAGAGTGAGACTCTGTCTCAAAACAAACAACAAAAACAAAACCAACAAAACAAAACAAGACGAGCCTTATACTTACTTCTTGTATTATATCAATAACTTTTAATATCTTTGCATCTATAGTTTCTAATCCCACATCTGGTTTGTCTTATTAAAGAAACCTCTCTCCACTCTCTCACTTACTCCCTCCCTATAGGTATATAGGTATACTTTGAATTGTTCTAATGTGCCTAAGGGTATGATGTCAATCAGTTTGACAGGACATTGATTTTGCTAAGATTAGATCTGACCTAAGGGAGGATGAATTCTTTAGCAACCACTCATCTTATTGCAGTTGCATTGAGTTGGATGGGAGAGAAATTAAGATTTTGTTTTTTTTGGAGGCTTTCAGCCAGAGTGGGAAAAAAAAAAAGAGAATCTAAATGTGATTCTAATAATCTCAACTCCTGAAGCACTTAGACTTAATAATAATAATAATAATCATCATCATCATCAATTAAAAAGTCACTGTCACAATTTCTGCTATTTTCTCTGGGCAGATTCATGAGGGTCAGTTATACACTGGTATGATTTATTTTCTTTTGTCTCAAAGGTGAGCCTGCTAAGTCACCTTCCATGAGTGATTGTGCATTCATGTGGGTAGTTTTCCATTTGTTCCTTTCTTCCTCCCAAATACTCTCTCATGTCACTTATTGATGAATGTCAGTTTGATGTGAGCACAAAAGAAGTATCTAGGTCCAGTTATGGAATGTTACCCTCTTTGAGTTTTATTTTCCCACATAAAACCAATGGTACTATAAAAGACTTTGAGTTTATTTTTAGTAACTTCCTATTTGGTTAGTCATTTTGCATCATTGCTGGAGTCTCTTCATCCATCTTGTCTATTTTGAGGTTCTTCCTCTGTTTCTGCTTTCTCAGAGGTCTTAATTTGTCATTTGGATTGTGTATGTCTTTGTTGGCTATATACTGTTTATGAAAAACCACTGCTTAATTAAAATTAAGAAAGGTTGATGACTTTTCTTTCTATTTTTATTAAGTACAGCAGCAATTTAAATTGCATACATGTGATCCAGTCCAAGATATATTCAGAGAAGCTGAAGTCAATCACTGGTAATGATTAATCTCTGGTTATCACTTTTCTTACTGTATGAGAAATGCTTTGATTCCATTTAACTTTTTATTTTGTGGCAGTGGTGACTGTTTTGAAAATTTGAGATTCCAATACGGTTAACTTAAAACCATATTCTATTTATTGTCTTACTTTCTCTGTCTTTTTTAAATTGATATTTTGATAACATTTAGAAGAGACACTATAATTTTATAATTTGTAAAATTATAAATACTCATCGGATGGTAGGAAGTTAAAGTGGAATCAGTACGAGTTATTACCCAACCTTCCTAAGTTTCTATGCTTAGCTCCAGGATTAGCCTAGCATTCATACCTGAGAGGCAACAAATTTTAGAAATACATAATATCAATTCCAGAAATTTTAATTCTTTGGCAGAGAATTTTCTCATAGCTGTATATCTTTTTTAAGTTTTTGAATATAGAATTAAAATGTCATGATAAAAGTCTATGTAATAGAGGTTTCTTGACATTGCTTCTCCAAGGGTCTGACAAGGTATTTGTTGTTTTGCTTTTTTTCTTATTTCTCCAGCCAAATCTCAATTTCTGGCTCTCATTACACATCCCTGTAAGCCTCTTATCCTTTGGTCTGGGTCCTGGCCACTGCAAAAGTTCTCCCTGAACTATGCAGGGATGTTCTCAATATGCTCTGTAGCCAAGCCCAGCTTTTCTGTTGCTCCCCAGGATTAAAATTTTGGATGGATGAAGACCCAATCTAGTACATCAGGCAGAATGATCACATTACTCCCTTCCTTCTCACCTTCCTCTCCTCTGCCAAACACCCCAGGCAACAATAAACAAAAGCATATTAAAACGTAGACAAGGGGAGAGTCATCTTTGTGTACTCACTCATTTTTAGTATTTTTGTGTTTAGTGATTAGCCTGTCAAATTGGCATTTGTGTCTAAGTCCTCTTTTGCTGTTGGCTACCAAGTAGCTCACGTGTAAGAGGAAATGGAGAACAGGCAAATATTCAGCTAGTAGTAGTAGTCATAAGAGGCAACATCTGACCCTGTTCCCTGCCCTTCATGGATTTTTAACCCTAGGTATTTGAGGCAAACTGCAGTGCAGTCACGCAGATGTTATAATAAATGGCAGAGTCAGGATTCCATCCCAGGCTGAGCACTCCTGGATCTCTGCTCTGAGCCACCTACCACATCATCTCTCCAGTGCTTTCCAGTTCCCAGATGTGCTGGCGTCTTGTGGTCAACACCGCCTATCCCTCTATCTCACCCTGCTGGGCCTGTCCTGTCCTAGTTATTGTGGGGAGGATGTGGAAATGACTGTCAAGGAAAAGTGGAAGATTTGTTTTTAACTCCTACAAAAAAAAAAATTACCCACCTAAATATAGTCCAGCCCTCAAGGAATCTGGAGATTTGACAGGGTAAATGACTTGCCAAGTTTCCACTAAGAATGATGAATCCAAGACTGAAACCTAATACTTAAATCAAAATTAGAAATAGTCATGTTATATATAGGAAGTCAATACTTGGTTGAAATTCTCAATTTCTATTTCTTTTGAATGGATACTGTTGAAAAATTATTGATATTTCTTTAAAAGGGCAGTAGAAATATTGGTGGGTAAAGAATCTACCCATATCTTTGAGAAAGGCAGGAACAGTATTAAATTGGAATTTGTCCCTAAATTAAAGAGGAATGGGTGTTTTTTGTAAAAGCCTTTGTTGAATCAATGAAGATGTATTATTATTATTATTTTTTACCTCACAAAGCCTAGTGGTTTCTGTCTTGATGTTGGCACTAACACCCTATCCTCCAAGAATGTCTGTGGAATATGGATTATTCAGAGGCAGGAGAATTTAATTGAAGGGATATTTTGTTTAGGTTCTTTTTCCTTTGGATTTATTTGAGCTGAAATATATTCACATTTGGAGCTCCATATGAAGTTTTTTGTTTATGTGTTCTTGGTCTTATTATTTTACTTTCCTTCCTGGCTTTTATTAATGTATTTTAATGATATACATATGTCCAGAAATTTTGGCAGCCAGTACATTTTTAAAAGCAAAATAAAAATATTGAACAGTAAGTTCTATCCTTATGAAGAACTTATTCTATAGTAACACCTGCAGACTACCCATTGAACTGGATGCAGAAATAATTTATATACAATGACATAATATTTTTACACTGCAAATCTGCTTGTGTTTTGTTTTTAAGTATCATTTCTCATCTATATACTGTAGAGGTGGCAATAACGTAATGATTTTTTTAATATATGGCCTAATTTTCTCAGAGAATACACTTATTTGAAAAGGAAAAAACCCTAAATAGGTTTCCATATGGTGATAGCATCTTTCACATTTCTTGTCACAAGGGTGATATTTTTTGTATGTGTGTGTGATTTCTATTTGAAAACATTCATTTAGAGCCTACCATAGAGAAGGCACTTAACCAAGTATTGTTGTAGATTAAAAAATGACTAATAATGACTAAAATTTGGTCATTGCCTGTCAAGGAGTTTACGTTTTGGGGGAGACATAAGTATAAACCTAAGAGTAAGAAAGGCAGAATTACTTGTATCCTAAAGTAGAAGTCCATTGCAAAGAGGAGGGAGGAAAGTTTTCTATGTAGTGGCATCCAAGAAGACTTTTTGGAAGAGCTTGCAGTTCAGTATTCAAAGAATGTCTTAAGATTATGATAATTAAAGAAGTCCCAGGACGAGACAAAATGAATCAAAGATTTTGTATGCAAGTCCACAAAGTCTGTCAGACATATTGTAAATAATTTACCATTGATTTTATTTTCAACAATGTTAATGTATTGACATTTAGCATATATCTGTTAGATAGATATTCTATCACAATGTTTTATTCCTTGCACCAGCCCTTTACTGTTTTCTAACAAAAAAAAAAAAACACAATTTCAGGGCATAAACAAGAAGTGTTTATTTTTCCGTAGTACATCTTTGGGTTGACTAGAGATTGGCTGTTCTAAGATGTGCTCATGCAGGCTTGACTCTAAACTATGCATTTAGAGTCATTTTGTTCTGGTCTGGTCTACACGTAGGTTATTCTTTTGAAAGCAGTACTCTGTCTTAAGCATGTTCTTCTCTTAGTGGAGTTTGGAGATGCTAATATCGACAGGTGGAGGCAGAATGCTCCTTAAAGTCTAAACTAGAATTGCCACACTGTCTTCCTAAGGTTCATAAGCCAAAGGAAATCTCATGGCAATTTCCAACATTAGTGGGACAAGAGATTATACTACTCCCAAGGAAGTGGAGGTGGGGAAAGGAATGATTATTTCTGTATCATAATCTACCATAGTCCTTAAGTGACTGCCTCTTGCTACTTCCCAATGTTTTACTAATCACATTGACTTTTAAAAAATAGATTCCCTAGGAATTCAAGAAAAATACTTATTTTCTAAATAAATCACAGCAAGACAGACACAATTGTCTCACTACCCCCAATATCCTAACACACTAACAAATACGTGTATAATCATACACACACAAACACTACAACATACACCCCTCTATGATGTTATTAATGTTATACAGATAAATAGATGTAATATTTCTGTGGATTGTGCTGCGGCTGTCCTAAATCATTGCACAGAATTATAGGTAACTGCAATTCATAGGGCTTATAATGTTAATCATTCTAGGAAGTAATTAGCTGAATGCCTTCTGTACATTTGCTAGGCTACCAGCTCAGCGACATGTATTCCATCTGAAGGACACTCTTCTTGAAATCAGAATGCGCTGAACTGAGTTTTAGAAATTAGAGAAGCAGTCTCACTGGCATGGGAAAGTAATCTGCCAATTTCCCAAAGGGCAGATCTTCCAAAAATAAAAATCGTCCAATTAGAGATTTTGGCTTTGACAGAGCTATTGAACAGGTTTGTAAATCACAAACGCCTTTCAAGCCTTTTGTTTTTACAATGCTGAAAGAGAAGATCCTGGTAGGGGGTCCTTTAAATGTGGTGCATGTAGAACCCAGATCTTTGTACAACTGGAATATGCCTTCCTTCTCTCCTCCTCCTCCTCCTCCTCCTCCTTTCTCTGTCTCTCTGTCTCTCTCTCTCTCTCTCTCTCTTTCTTTCTTTGAACTTTGACAGATCTTTCAAAACTAAGGCTACACGCTGCTGATCATCAGCTCTGGCTTCAGTGATGAACTTCCAATCTTTTTCTAATTCTAAGACCCCTACCACACACCTCAAAGTAACTTGAAATACATTATGCTCCCAGTGTGGTTGTAATATTATCATCTTATTATCACCAATTCCCTTGCATGGTGGCTTTGCTGAGCAGCTGTTTCACAGACAAGCCAATTTCTTTTAAGTATTGCTCTATCAGACTCTGAAACCAGTTCTACCAGAAGGGTTCTTGGTAATGAATGTTAATGAGCAGACAAGTATCCTTTCTCTGACAGAGGCTCACTAATCCTTTGAGTAAGTATGGGTGAATTACAGGAGAAATTTTATTTAAGTTAAATTGATCTGCTACTAAGTAGAGAAAACTTATTTTCTTATTTTAATGAAAATCAAGAAAAAATATTTAATGGGGATGTAAATTACAGCTCCCTGGAAACATTTTTGTCTTCTGACTGGAGAACACAGTAGCTCAGTAGACTGGTTCAACTGCATAGTGTGCTTAACACTAGCAAACTCATGATCTCCAGTGAGGCCTGATCTTCAGTGGGACAGTGGGAAATGGAGTAGAAACCACTCACTCTCTCTGGGATTTGGTACCAGCAGATTCTTTATGTTCCTTAGTGATAAGTAATAGGGATAAAAAATTATTCTTTCTTCTTCCACTGAGCCAGTGTAAGAGTTCCTTTTTTTTTCCAAAACAAATAAGATAGTAAAGCCATAAGAACAGCACTTGTATGCTTTTTGTATTCTAAGAATATGAGAAAAATGATTTCAGTGAACCTTTATCTGAAAGGATATAACCATGTCCTGATGGAATACTGCGATGGGCAGGTAGAAGGGAATGAGATGGGCCAGGCGCAGTGGCTTACGCCTGTAATCCCAGCACTTTAGGAGGCCGAGGCTGGCAGATCAGAAGGCCAGGAGTTCAAGACCAGCCTGGCCCGCATGGTGAAACCCCGTCTCTACTAAAAAAAATACAAAAAATTAGCTGGGCACGGGGGCATGCGCCTGTAATCCCAGCTACTCGGGAGGCTGAGGCAGGAGAATCGCTTGTACCCAGGAGGCAGAGGTTGCAGTGAGCTGAGATTGTGCCATTGCACTCCAGCCTGGGTGACAAAGCGAGACTCCATCTCAAAAAAAAAAAAAAAAAAAAAAGGAGAGGAATGAGATGGGCAGAAAGATGATCATTGTTGAAGCTGGTTGATGAGTCTTTAGGGAGTTCATAGACTATTCTGGGTTGTGTATAGTTTCTGAATTTCCATAATAAAGAGATTAAAAGAGAGAGAGAAAGAGAGTTGGCCAGCACAGTGCCTCGTGCCTGTAATCCCACACTTTGGGATGCTGAGGTGGATCACCTGAGGTCAGGAGTTTGAGACCAGCCTGGACAACATGGTAAAACTCCGTCTCTACTAAAAAAAAAAAAAAAAAATACAAAAATTAGCCGGGTGTAGTGGTGCAGGCCTGTAATCCCAGCTACTCAGGAGGCTGAGGCACAAGAATCGCTTGAACCCAGAAGATGGAGGTTGCAGTGGGCCAAGATTGTGCCACAGCACTCCAGCCTGGGCAACAGAGTGAGACTCTGTCAAAAAAAAAAAAAGAGAGAGAGAGAGCTGACTTGAACATACACAGGACTGAAGATATCCAGACTGTGAATCCATTGTACATACGGAACAATGTCAGCGGTTGTTACTGCTCTCAATTTTTGTATATTCAACAGTAAATTATACAGAGCACGTCATTTTCAAATTGCAAACCTGAACACAACCTATAGGATTTTGACTCAATTCCAGGCTACTTAGCTTATGCTCCCATCCAATATTCTATTATTATTGCGCTGGAAATGACATCTCTAATCTATCCACATGAACAGGCCTGTTAAAATGAGGCTTAATCTTTAAATCTCCTTGGTAAGTGTGATTGAATTTGTTAAACTTTTGTTTGTAAGCCATATGGACATCAAAATAAGGAAAATATCCAAACCCGAACTTTGGCAAGATTCAAATGACAGTGTAAAGTGTTTATTATCAAATGCATTACAAATAACATTTCCATATCATTCAGTAGTCACTCGGTGATTTTTCACTGAATGACCAACATTGACATGAGCTCCTGGGGTTTGGCATTTTAGCAAATGTAAAAAAAGAGGTAGCTGGCCTAAGCCGTTTTCTGTCATTCCAAGCATTCCCTTAGACAAGAACAGGATCCTGAACCCAAATGTGAAGGAAGAACCAGTGCCCAGCTAAGAATAACTGTGCATGGTCCACAGTGCTCAGATAAATTTTTAAAAATCACTCATCACAGTTTCAGAATGTGCCATTTGTTATTCTTGCAAAAGGTTTGCTATATTCATTAAACGAACAAATATTCTTGGGAAAACTATATATAGTAGTTTACAGTCTTCACACTGTTTCCTCCCTTCCTAGCAGTCCAGTAGAATATAAACGACTTGAACATGAAAAGCAAACTTTGAAGTAAGATAGCAGGAAATCGGGGCTCCAAGGCCTTTGAATGTTGGAAGAAATTGGATTTCTCCACGTATTTTGTTTTATTTTTTAAAATTTATTTGCATGTTTTCTCCTTTTGAAAGAATAGTTCTGTGGTCATTACAGGATTTAGTTCTCTCAGTCTTCCTGTCTCTTTCTCCTTAATGCTTCTAGAGTTGACATTTTATCATTTTCACTTATTTAATGTTCTTGTAATAGTATTCTTCTAAAAACTATGATCCATTGCATATTCCCTGTTGAAGTCTAAGCTCATTAAGTTCAGAGATTAGGTCTCCTCTTTCTATTTTATCTTCCTATACCTGACTTAATATGAAGTATATTTAATAATGCTGCAGTGTTGTGTGACAATGGTAGCAACCTGTGCAGTCTCAAGGGCACAGACCAGTTAAATGAATTACTTATATTCCTATAATAATTATGACAGAAGAAAATAGGGAACCTTGAATTCTCATTATCCATTAACTCTTAGGGTCCATAAACCTGGAATTCATATGTGATATCAGCAGCATTGGTTCCAGTGGATTTAATGGAACTAATTTTAAATTCCCCGGACAAAGAGTGCCTTTACTTAGAGTAAAGCAAGTAGAGGTTCTTATCATAAAAAACAGGATAAACGTGTTTTTCTCCATTGCAAGTATGCACATATGCACAGTCACACACACAGGCGTGAATAAGAAATGTTTAAGATGTCCATGAATTTCCTGGAGAATCAGTTAATATACAGATTGCTGGGTTCAACACCAGAGATGACCATTCTTTGGTCTGGACTGAACTCAGAAAGGATCTCCTGTTCTGAAGCGAGTGTTCTCTGCTCCACCACACTTAACACTGGCTTACGTGGAATTGAGAGGTTAGTTAGCAGGATGTAGAGCTGGGGCAAAGAAATTTGACAGAAGTTTTTGAATCTTTCTTCTGACATATTAAGGTCAGCCAGTAACAGGCCTCCATATCTAAGGTGGCATTCAAGAACCTGTTGCCCGTCAAATAATGACTTTTATATGTTAACTAAGTTACCCCTTTTTCTTTTCAATTTTGACAGTGAATTATACAATTATACCCAAGATCAACAACTCATTTTAACTTTTGCAGATGTATACTGTGGATTTTTGCATTTTTAAGTTTATGAACTACACAATTATTATCCTTTTTCCATTTATTTTCTAGTTCATAAGGACCTAATGTGTGTTTATTTTTCACAATTGGTAAAATACTTTTTAATTTTTGGGTTACTTTTTTTTGCTAGGATGATATGTTTTGAAGCGCAGTATCTTATTTTATTTTTTTATTTTTAATTTTTGTGGGTAAATAGTGTGTGTGTGTGTGTGTGTGTATGTATGTATATGTATATATATATATATATATATATATTTTGGGGGTACATGAGATGTTTTGATACAGGCATGCAGTGTGAAATAAGCACATCATGGAGAATGGAGTATCCATCCCCTCAAGCATTTATTCTTTGAGTTACAGGCAGTCCAGTTACACTGTAAGTTATTTTAAAATATACAGTTAAGTTACAGTTGACTATAGTCACTCTGTTGTGCTATCAAATAATAGGTTTTATTTATTCTTTCTATAATAATTTTTTTTTTAACCTGTTAGCCAGCCCCACCTCTCCACCACTCACTCGCTGCCCGTCACTCCCCTTCCCAACCTCTGGTAACCACCCTTCTACTGTGTCCATGAGTTCAATTGTATTTATTTTTAGATCCTACAAATGAATGAGAACATATGATGTTTGTCTTTCTGCGCCTGGCTTATTTCACTGAACATAATGATCTTCAGTTCCATCCATATTATTGCAAATGACTGGATCTCATTCTTTTTGTGGCTGAATAGTACTCCATTGTGTAACTATATTTTTTCATAGCACACTTTGATTCAAACATAAGGTATGGTTATTGTAGAAAACTTGTATAATTTAACTTTAATGTGTTAAAGGATTAAAATGACTTTATGCCTAATTGAAGGAAAAGTGCCTGATCTCTAAGGAATCTGGGATAAGGATGTAATGTAAAATTATTAATATTTGGTGTCATGAAACTTTATTCAAATAACTTCTGAAAAAATAAAATAAATTGGAAGTCTTAATTCCTGTGTTAAATAGTTTATAATTATAAAATGAAAAGTAGAATACAGTCTCTGTGAGCATGAGGGAATTTCCTATTTTCTGGGTATAATATTCCCTCCACACATACTTTATGATATTTTGTCAGTACAACTTCGGACTGCTTTTTCCATAATTGAGTTGGTTGTCTCTATTTAGAGTACAAGTAGAAGCCTACAGCAATATAAATCTGAAGATCTGTGTAATATATTATGATTGATGTTAAAAAAAATAGGTTAAGGAAGTACTTACGTAAATTCTTCCATTAAGTAATGATTTAAGCAAAGTAGAGATTTAAGGAAGATAAAAACATACAATAAGAACTGTTTAAAATGTTCTTCTTGACCACTAGTCCAAGGTTTACTGACTTTGTTCCCTTGATCATTAGACCAGCCAGGCTTGTTCTCATTCTCTGGGCAGTGGCTGAAAACCTTTTACTAAGAGAAGTAGCTTCTAAGAATATCTTCAGCCCTTGAGGGTTCCAAGTCCCCCTACAAATAGCAGATTAGCAATCAGTGAAAACCTTCTGTTAGTTCCACGACTTAGCTTCTGTCTGGCGCATAGAACTCCAAAACGTATTCTGAAACTGAAGAAGTTTGGGGGCCAGTTTTAACTAATATAAGTTTTATATATTTTTAAATTACTAGCCACATTCCCAAAATGTATTGGTATTTTTTTTCTTCCAATGGCTGAGATTATTTTTCTGCTTTCTAATTCTAAATTAGGCATTTCTTATTTTTTCCCATGTAGATTCTAGATGCCTTAAACAGTCTACAGTCTTTTCTTCATTCATTCTCCATAGTTGGGGAAGGGTCTTTATCTATGACATTATGTCAAGTTTTATTTAGAAAAATTTTAGCCATGTAAATAGCACAGGCCTTGGATCTTCACAGAATGTGTTTCAAGTATAGGAGGTGCGTTGTATTGACAAAATGATCTTGTAAGTTTCTTAAACTCTCTGGGAAAAAAATTTAGTTTTTCATTTGTAAAATAAGTATAATAATACCTGTTTTGAAACTACGATATACATAAAAAGCCTAGCATAAGTCTAGCAAAGAGTGCGCTTGTAATATATGAGGGTTCACCTCTGCTCTTCATCCTCATCACTGTCATAGTGCTCACTTTCTTACCTATAAGGACCCTGACAGTCCTATAGAGCCACTTAGATAAGAGCATAAATAACTGGAATGCTGATCGGTACCATGAATTAAAATGCAGATAAAATCATGGAAGAGAATGAAATTATTTCTTGACAAGAAGACTATAAATGGCTTTGTGAAAAGACAGAATGTAAACTGTCTTGAAGGTTAGGAAGGATTCGAAACATGGAAATAGGATTGAAGGCATGGAGATGGGAAATTACTAGTGATACAGTGATACAGAGGATACTTTGTTTCCATGATGAAACAAAGCTTGAACCAAAGTGAAGTGTATCCATTATTAAGGTCCTTGAATATGTTTCAAAAGTAGAAAATTAAGTCTATTCTCTGAAAATCAATGGGAGTGCTTGTTTATTTTCATTTAAATAATTGAATTGACTGTGGAGTTTGAAGTTATGGAGACACAAATTTAAATCCCTGTTGAACAACGACTAACAGGTTTACACTGTGGGGTTTGTTGTGTTTAATTGATGGCTGACAGCAGGCATGCGGTTTAGAGAGCAAAATATGCTCAAGTGGTTCCGTATATCCTTTAGTGTGTGTGTTTGTATAACACTATTTTTAAATAAACAGTGTGCTCCTGAGAGTCTATCACTGAGTTAGGTTTTTATATGGTCTATGTATGAGAATTTTTATATGTGGCCACTACAATAGTGGCCCTCCCTTCAAAGCCCATGCAACAAACATTCAGCAGTGGTTGTGGGGAGTGGTAGGTTCAAGAGTAGACTTTTCTTGTCCTATGCTATTCTACTTTTCAGATTTCTCGCCAAAGTGAATATGAACTGTGTTATCACAAAAATGGGTAGGTGCTTCATCTGATTATGAAAATGAACATTAAGTTGATATCTCTCAGAAGGCCGTGCTGTGTATACCACATCTCAGTATGTGAAATCAGTTGTCTTTCTAAAATTTTCTCATGATAATATCCTGTTCCAATTTCAAAGGCAAATGTCTATTGAAATTGCTAAATTTCATGTGTTATACTTGTAAAATGTTATATTTCTTTCAAATATCTTGCATAAAGTTTTCCCCCACAGTATTATACACAAATATATAGGACAAGGATCCTACTATGTATATTCTAACCAACAACCGTGCTGGGCACATGATTGATGATAATTGCCCAGTACATGTAATGAATTGAATTTTCTCAGTAACAATTTAGTACACAATTGACTTAGTATATGGATCACTAGGGATGGATGAATACAAACAAATTCTGCACTCAATTTTTTCAGATCACTGAAAATCCCAGAGCCTCTAGAGCTCTGTTGAAGTCTACTTTATAAAAAGACATGAATATTTACTTACTATACATTTATACAGCGTTTATTAAGTAGCTATTGATTGTTCATAGTTGCCTTCTCAGCAACCTTAAATCCTCATAGAAAATGCATAATTCTTAAAGGCAGCTAACATCTCCATTTTTTCAAGTTATTAAGAATGGAGTGAATACACAGTAGCATGGGGTACCCTTGGCATGATGCCACGGGTGAATGCAGAATGCATCACGGGATGACTAATCCCATTTCTTTATCCTAAGGTTCACTAACTGTGGTTAATATTGAGCCAAGTTTATTTGTGCAGTTTTTGAAGAGGCCAAGACATTAAGATTCCTTAGAATAAACATCATCTGGGCATCACCTGCACACCTAAATGGATTTATTGCCAATGAGTAATGCTGTGCCTTCGCTGCACAGTCTACACAGAAAATGTCAGAACTCAATAAAAACAGTGCAACAGTCTTCTGATTGAGTTTGTATTAAGGTCTCTTTATTGGATTAATCCGGTTCTTTTCTCTTCCTTTCCTCATCTGAATGAAACATATTTTAAGGGCCATTCATTTTAGATGAAGTTGAGGAAAGTATTTTAAAAAAGGAAAAAAATAATGGATTTGCAGTTAGGCTCACTCCTTTAATCCCAGCACTTTGGGAGGCCAAGGTAGGTGGATCACTTGAGCCCAGGAATTTGAGACCAGCCTGAACAACACAGCGAAACAGTATCTCTACCAAAAAAAAAAAAAAAAAAAATTAACCAAGTGTTGTGGTGTGTGCCTGTCCTGTAGTCCCAGTTACTCTGTAGGCTGAGTGGGGAGGATCACTTCAGCCCAGGAGGTCCAGGCTGCAGTGACCCATGATCACACCACTGCACTGTAGCCTGGGCAACAGAGTGAGACCCTGTGTCCAGCAAACAAACAAAATATATTGCCTTCCTTGTTAGAATTTTGCTTAATACCTTGGCCGGGAGCGGTGGCTCATGCCTGTAATCCCAGCACTTTGAGAGGCCAAGGCGGGCGGATCATGAGGTCAGGAGATCGAGAACATCCTGGCTAACACTGTGAAACCGCGTCTGTACTAAAAATACAAAAAATTATGAGCCGAGATCATGACACTGCACTCCAGCCTGGGCGACAGAGCGAGACTCCGCCTCCAAAAAAAAAAAAAAAAGAATTTTGCTCAATATCCAGCATAACCCTGTTAATTTTGTGGGAACATAATAAAAGCTACTTTGATAACAAAGCAGAAAAATCAGCTGTTTGTCTTCTTGCGCATGTCAAACCTTAAATTTGGCTGTGTTTTCTGCTCTCTTCCCCAGTAACTTCATTTTTAAGCCTCTTTCTTATGTATTTGAACAACAATCAAGAAAAATAACATTGTTGTGAAATACCTTAACCTCACATGTGACGTCTCTTTAAAATAAGTAATATAATGAAAGCAAGCAAGCACCGGTAATCTTTAGAAAGGCTAAATAACTTGAGTGGTAATGACTAATGATCTTTTTTGTCTTCACAAAATATTTCTTGCCATTTAAACAAACATCTGCATGTGGAGTAAAGCATATTGATAGATAGCCAACATTTCACATTCAGTGAAGAACTCTTTCCTTTATCCTAAGTGATAATAGTAAATTTAAAGACTAATTAATTTCTTTCACTGGAATAATAAGTTCTGGGAAAATATCAGATATTTTAAACATTGGAAGTGAAGAGAAAGTTGCATCTATGAAAAAATAATTTTTAGTAAGATTGATACACATTTATATCAATAATTGCATACTATATCCCTATCGATATATATATATATATATATATTTGTTGCAGTTCTTATATTCTAATACTGTTTTCTTTTCCATTTTCCCCAGGAAACAAAAATGAACATGATCCTAAATTACACTTTATATTTCACATCCGCTAATAGGGCTGGTATTGGGAAACAGTGCCAAATATACAAGAGCCGAGCAGTTTTCTATTTGAGTATTTGTTTGCAAAACAAGCCCAGGCTAATGGAGGATCATTTGTAGGAAGCTAAGTCATGCTGGGTGCTCATTGATAACTTAGAAAGACTCTCTAGTTTGCATTCCCCCAACCCCCAGTTGGAGATAGTCATATGTGTTTCAATTAAAATATCCATTTACTTCCAGCTGGCAACGTTAGTATCCATTCTACCGACAGAGAGCAAAGGTCACAGGCTCCTGCCTGAGCAGACATTTTAAAAAATATGCCATTTGCCTTCCTTGTGAAGATACCTTTGAGCCACCCATTGCAGGCTTGGGGAGAAGATTTTGAAGGGTCAAATTGCATGGGGACTTTCACCTTATTTACTGATATAGCTTTAGTAGCTGTTGGTCCAGATGCTGCAACTGCTGTTGCTTTGTGGATTGGGATTCAGCAGCAGCTGTTGTTCTTTGCTACAGCGTGTTTCTGAAATTCAAAATTTAATAGTCTGAGACCCTAGTCATTGAAAACTATGCTGAAAGTTAATTTGCTGAATCCAAGTTTATTTTCCTGCTAAGCCATAGTTTGTGATGGAGCCTTTCCCTTGTGATGCATAATAAAATGAAGAAAGGCCTTATTTAGTGCCGTTACCAGACTCAAGCAGGAGAGAATGCAGTAGTTACAGAGCCGGGCGTGGGCTTTGCTGCCTTGTAATTCGGCCTTACTCACATTTTTAGAATTTCAAATCTAGATCCCTTTATGCAAGATATTTGAAACAAATATAACATTTTAAACGTATAACATATGAAATTTAGCAATTTCAATACACATTTGCCTTTGAAATTGAAACAGGATACTATCATGAGAAAAGTTTAGAAAGACAACTAGATCTTAACTTCATTGCATATAGCAACCTGATGAAACTCCAGTTTCTCTATCTCAAAAGATTAAAAATTAAATTCTACCATGGAGAGTTATTGTGAATTAAATGAGATAATATACATAAAGCACTTATTATCATCTTTGACACACAATTTGCTTTTACTATTTTTACCCCACTCATATTACTTTTATAAGGGTTTTCTGATAAAGAAAAAGCTCCTTTGTTTCCTTGGTTCATTTCTCAGAAGAAAATTAATTTTCTTGCCCAATAAATATGAAAATTCCTAATATTCAAATTCTTGTAGATAATATTTGTTAAGTAATACTATGTGCCAGGCCCTATTTTAGGTGCTTTACGTGTGTTATCCCCTTCAGCCATCACAAAAATCCCATGAGGTGGGTGACATCATTACCTTTTCTGTTTCATACTTGAGGAAGTTCTTACTTAGAAACATTAGGAATTTGCCTGAGGTCACATATTACAGACAGAAGTAGGAATTAATCCAGTCTATACCTGTTACCAAACCCTACTTTCTCCATAAGGAAAACAAATCTAATTACCTTGGAATGAAGTATTTGAGCTTTGTTTCTGAAATTAAATATTCTTTCAGCAATGGGATTCTCAGGCAACTCTACCATTATGGCTTTTTCCATTTCCTGGAGTCTCTAGTGGGTAGACGAATTTATACTAATAAGTGATAAATGTTATTTTGTGAATAAGTCTTTGTTTTGGCATTCTCACTTCGACAATATTGGATATGATCCACTTAATTATGAAAAAAAATGAAAATCTTAAGCTTGACCTGTTCACATCAAGATAGACCTAGTTATAGATGCCACAAGTAAATCATGGTGGGAGGGATGGGGAGTGGGAAAACAGTATTTGGGAGATATAGCCACCAACAGCGATCCAACCAAGCAACCCATATCCTTGCAAAGTTAACAGTAGTATCTACCAATATCCAGAGTTCCAGCACTGGAGATGCAGACAAAAATGATATGCAAATATGCACACAGATACAAATGACCCTTGGGGAGGGGGTGGGAAAAACAAACAAACAAAACAGCCCTGGGCGCAGAGGCAGGATCCCAGTTTAACAGGAAATCAGAGCTCACATCTGTAGCTTGATGTATGTAACATATATGAAGATGAGATCTCAGACACAATAAACGAGACAGGACCAACTGGAACTGGCACTTAAGGTTGCAACTAAAGAGTAGCAAGTATAGCATTTGAAAGTAGAAATTCTTGAGTCATTCCTTGGTAATGTCAAGAAAAACGTCTGGAGCCTGGGCAGTACCTGAAGATGGGAGTCTGAGAATGAAAGAAAAAAAAAAAAAAGACTAATCCTGCCAGCAGAAAATTCATGGTTTGTCTATTCTTAGGAAATTATAAAAACTCTGTAGCATGGATAGACTTGCAAGTTGCCAGAGTTATATTCTAATGTATAATTTTTTTTATTTCAATAGGTTTTTGGGGAACAGGTAGTGTTTGGTTACATGAATAAGTTCTTCAGTGGTGATTTCTGAGATTTTCGTGCACCCTTCACCGAAGCACTATACCCTGTACCCAATGAGTAGTCTTTTTTAATATAAAACTTTGAGATATATTTCTTTATATTTCATACTTTAGCTCACATTTTTCACACAAAATTTTATTAGATATTTTATACTTTAACTCATAAAGGAAATGGTATAATACATGATAACGTTTCCATTAAGACTAAGGATGAAATAGTTAAAACTTGTAAAGATTCTGTAAAACCTTAAAAAAGAGTAACCTTTATTTCATTAATATTTAACTTTTTTTCCTAATCCTAGTAAATATCATGTAAACTTTCTGTGTACTCAAACCTTGCTTTAAATGTCAGCAGATATTGTATTTATATATACATGAAGGAGTCATATATATAGGTAACTGGTAATGGTATTTGATTTGGGGAATGAAAATAGTCTTTGGGAGCAGCAATAAGAGAAAAGTCCTTTTGTACCTTTTGAATATTTGATAATATATATGAATTGAATTACCTATTAAAATATTTTAAAGAAGAACAATGCAGCAATGCTAAAGAAAACTGAAAATCTTCAAATTCAGTTATTTACAAGACGCTAGAAGCAGGTTGTGAAAGTCTTTTGCTTTTCTACACCCCACTTTCAATTTAAAAGTGACCATGTTCACGTCAAAACCAATGTTAAAGCACTTCTAATTTCAGTGAAATAATTTTTTTTCCCTTCTTCTGAAGAACACTTTTTACCTTCTATGAAGTGAATGACTGTGACATTTGGATGTTGCAGAGTTTCTTGTTAAGTATATTTTGTACATGAATTACTTCCAGGAAAAGGTCAGTTCAATGTTTAAAGATTTTTCATACAAAATAACTAAAACAGACCTCTTAGGAATTGCCCACTCCTCACCCCTGTTATTAATACCCTAAGTCTATTTGTTAATTCTCTGCTGTTGTTTTAAATATTTACAAATTTCCCTATCCTTTTCTGTGCCGTTTCAAAATATAAACTTAGTTTTTCTTAACCTGAAACCTTAGATAGTAAAAAAGAAAACAAAAAACATTCCCTCAGAATGTAGCATTTTTGTCAATTTCCCTTTTTCAACATTGTCAAAATGTTGGATTTCATTGTAATTTGCCTGCAAGTCTCTGTCTTTATATTCAGTTTTATTTTTTTCTCCCACTTGCCCCCAACTTCACAGACTGTGAACCTGACTTCAGTGCCTTTAACTTCCATGGACCTGTGTCTCCATTTCTGCCCTCCCTTTATCTGTTGAAAGGGGGGAGAAGCAGCACTCAGTGTAACATTCTGTAATTTTCGACTTCAATTATGTACCTGCTCCACCTCAGCAGGTGTTGGCCCCACTGCAATTGGGGAAATGAAAAGCGTGCAAGGAAAACATAGAAAGAAATGTGTGGGGTCTGGTTCATTGCTTATATGGCAACATTTTAACAATAAACTTGTTTCTTGGATAAAGGAATATATATTCTTTGGATTAACAAATTTAAACTTCTCACTCAACTCTTTGCCTTTTCCAATAATTGAGAGTATCTTGATCGTTTCTTCATTAGGAAGTGTCTGCTTTCTTGATTCTCAAGGACGTCATTCCTCAATTGGGCTTTGAAAAAGTGTGTTGATATTTCTTTTTATCTAAGGACCCTCAGCATCTTTACAAATATAGACTCCTTAAAAACACATCTGGTCAGCTGGGCACGGTGGCTCACACCTTTAATCCCAGCACTTTGGGAGGCTAAAGCAGGTGGATCACGAGGTCAAGAGTTCAAGACAAGCCTGACCAACATAGTGAAACCCCATCTCTACTAAAAATACAAAAATTAGCTGGGCTTAGTGGCACGTGCCTGTAATCCCAGCTACTTGGGAGGCTGGGGCAGGAGAATCACTTGAACCCGGGAGGCGGAGGTTGCAGTGAGCTGAGATCGCACCACTGCATTCCAGCCTGGGTGACAGGGTGAGACTCTGTCTCAAAACAAACAAACAAAAAAAAAAAAGAAAAAAAAAACACATCTGGTCACTATAGTTGCTTCAGTGAATTCAGAGAGAAATGAACAACAAAAAAATATAGTGAGTGAATTACCTTTTGATGATACGTGGCCTTATGGCTGAACTAAGACCATAAACTGATAGTAAGCAACTCCTACCTGAACATAAGGCACTGCCATCTGCATTTAAGAGATTGGAGAAATGAAGAGGCAGAGATATGCTGTAAAATTTTTATGTTTCCTTGTAATAATCATGCTGCAAGCCACTGATAACTGCAAGAGCAGTTACTACCTAAATGTTATTCAGTAGCTTATGAAGATATTTTGATAGGTACTATTCTTTCAAAGTTAAGTCCTTAAACATGTGCTAATGAAACACACTGAATATTGTTAGTGTTTTTATATAAAAAGCATTTTTAATGACAACGTCAAATAAATTTCACTCTATTAAATATGATAGTGCTCCACTGATAACACTTTTAGAAAGTAATTAGTAATTCAGCATGTTCAGGGAATCCCTCCTTCTCTTCAGAGATGCATGTGTAAGGTGAATGCAACAAAATGAAAAATCTAGTTGTCAAGTTGGAGAAAGTTTTTTTTTTTTTGCTTGTTTTTTTTTATGACTTTTTTTTCTTTTTGTTATTATACTTTAATTTCAGGGATACATGTGCAGAACATGCAGGTTTGTTACATAGGTAAGCATGTGCCATGGTGGTTTGCTGCAACCATCAACCCGTCATCTACATTAGGTATTTCTCCTAAAGCTATCCCTCCCCTTGCCCCCTCCCCTTGACAGGCCCTGGTGTGTGATGTTCCCCTCCCTGTACCCATATGTTCTCATTGTTCAACTCCCAGTTAGGAGTGAGAACATGTACTGTTTGGTTTTCTGTTCCTGTGTTAGTTTGCTGAGAATGATGGTTTCAGGCTTCATCCATGTCCCTGAAAAGAGCATGAACTCATTCTTTTTTACGGCTGCATAGTATTCCATGGTGTATACGTGCCACATTTTCTTTATCCAGTCTATCATTGATGGGCATTTGGGTTGGTTCCAAGTCTTTGTTATTGTGAACAGTGCTGTAATAACCATACGTGTGCATGTGTCTTTATAGTAGAATGATTTATAATCCTTTGAGTATATACCCAGTAATGGGATCACTGGGTCAAACGATATTTCTAGTTCTAGATCCTTGAGGAATTGCCACGCTGTCTTCCACAATGGTTGAACTAATTTACACTTCCATCAACAGTCGTATTAACAATTACAATAATAATACAATATGTGCTGTAATAGACACACAGGCCATATTCTGGAAACAATGAAGATGGAGTGACTACCTTGTTTGTTTGAGTCAAAGGAGTTCTTAGCAGAGCTGATGGACTCTATTGAATTTTAGCATGAGAATAGCAATTTACTAGGAGTTAAAGATTATTTGAAGTAGCGCATAAGGGATAAAATATGTAAAAATTTTTAAATACATTTGGCCCCTACAACATTTTGTTAGACATAAAATAATCTTGTTAGCCTATTGTTCTATTGAAACTTTTTTTTTTGTATTTTTCTTTTTTTAGTAGAGACAGGGTGTCACCATCTTAGCCAGGATGGTCTCGATCTCCTGACCTCATGATCTGCCCGCCTCGGCCTCCCAAAGCACTGGGATTACAGGTGTGAGCCTCTGCACCCGGCCTATTGAAACACTGTTTAGGAGATATTTTATATTCAAAACATTTTGAATACACTATACTTCTTTTAGATTAGAAATTTATATTTCAGTACATTGCTTCTGAGATAAACTTGAAATACCAGTTAAATTTTACCCTATTTATTGTTAGAATAAAACTGTCATCTTAGATTGGTCAACAGATATTTGCTTTATAAGCACAGAAATTAGGCTTTTTAGACCTAGTTATTCTATAGAAATTAGTGGTTCAGCTGGTTTGGTGGCTCACCATGGTCATACATAGACTCATTGTTCCTTTGGCAGTCCATAACATGCCAAGCTCATAGTTTTACCCCACCATGACCCAAGAATAGCAACTTGATGTTCTAAGAGAAACCAATAATACAGATTCCTTGATAGTGCTATTTATAGGTGGTATGGTTTAGTTCATCAGCATAAGGACAATGGAAACTTTCTATAAGTGAATGGCATTTAACTGAGAAGATGCATCCATTTGAGTGTGTCTTTCAAGATGCATCTTCTAAACTTTGAAGGGATTCAGATACTCCCTCCAAAGATGTACTAGTTACCTCCACTTACCAAGTAATAGGCTGCCTACATTTTTTATTCCACTTTTAGAAGTATTCATTGTGGCTTTTTGTAACTATGAGATTAATATTAAATCTTATTAACTAGGGAAAGATAACGAGTATATCTCTCTTTTTAATTGTTATGTTCAGGCATGCTCTCGGTCCCACAAAACTTTTGATTTTGATGAGCAGAGTACATGCCCAACATGATTTTGATTCCTTAATACTGATTATATTGAACTGGTGAGCAAATATCTCCCTTGGAGATGTCAAGCTCAAGAGCAATAGATGCTGAGGTAGAAGGGAAGAGAAAGACAGAATTTATGCGACTGTTCTATACACATACCATGAGGAACAAAGAGGGGAGAAAGTTAAAGGAAACAGTCACTGGGGCAGAAACCACAAAAATAAGGCAGTGAATAAAAGAGAAGATATCCAGAGTTGAGAGCTGAGCTGTACTGCCATGAAAATCTAGCTCGGTGTGAGACCTCTGCACATCCTTACAACAAATATCTACAACTTAAAGTAACCTGAGGCTGTCTCTGTCTGGCATACTAAAAGAAGATGACCCATCCAGTTTAATCATATACTACGATTTTAAGACATTGATTTCATCAGTATTTCTAAAACTAATGATTCTCTTCATTAACTGATTATTACCACCTTTAGACTAGAATCTGCTTGCTCCTGTGTTTCTTTGCCTTTTCATGTTTTAGTTTTATCTATGCATCCCAGCCTACTTATTGGAGGTAGATAGAGGATTGGAGAGTTGCAAAGATAGGGAAAGGAACTTGTATCAAGTCCAGGCATAACTGCCACTACCTCCAGTCCTGATGTGCATCTACAAAGAACGCTTTAGCATATGGGTAGAGCCTAACACAAGACTTTTTTCAAAGATCTTAAGGCTAGTTTTGTTTGAAATATTTTGATACCTTCATTTACATAGAATGGATTTTGAACCTACCATAATTGTAGACCTGAACATGATATAATAGTCTTTATTCCTGAAGATAAATAAGATTATAATTAACTGTGGGATCATTAATGGACTAGAACACTAGTCAACAATAAAAAAGAGGGTTAACACAATGTAACAGCACTTGTCTGATTCGTAAGTCATTTGGCTCTTGCACTTAATCACATGACCCTAAGAAGTCATTTAACTTATTTGAGCCTTAGTTTACACACTTGTCACTTGGGGATAATGTTAATACATATAAAGGAATTCATCTATGTGGCATTAAAGAGAATTTCAATCAACTTCCTCATTCTTGATCTGATCACTGATAAGATTGAACTTGAGAAAACATAGAAATCCTCATTTTTAAAACCTCACTGCTCAAAGTAAAGTAAGCAAGAGTAGGCAACCACCAGGAGCGAATGAACATCTCATTCTCTATGGTTGTAGGTCACTGTCCTAGGATCTAGCAATTTGTTTCCCTAAGAAAACTAAGTTATCTTCATAACTTAGTTATCTTAATAACTAATATTAATAGCATATTAATAACTCATTAACATCAAGAAGAAAAGAGAAAAATCTCTTTTATTTGTTAAATGTTATTTGTATACTTTTTGTACATGACAATATGCCTTATGAATAATTTCAAAAAATATAGGTGATAAAGTTACCAATTATAATAAAAATATCCTATTCAGAATTTGTGTGAAAATAAATTAAGATATCTTGTGTAAGTGCGTGTGTTTGAATTACCTTCAAAATATAAAGTATCTTTATACCTGTTGGACACAATAAGGACTACCCATGATATTAATTGAATCGGTCATTACTCATTGTTAATCTCTTGACTATCTTAAGATTTATTTTTGTAAATATACCACATTATTTAATGTCACTGAATATTTTGATGGTGCTGTTCCAATATCAAATAACTGCCAGAGTTTTAGAGAAAGCTTGCCTTTCATGCATATTTAAGTTTCCATTGTACTTCAGCTCATCCTAAAGAAAGATATTGCCATTAACCATATATCCTTGCAATAGCAGTTATGTCTGAAAGAAGTAATGTGCAGTAGAATATGCAGCATAAATGTCTATACTTCTGTATTAATTATTGACCCAAGGTTAAATGTATGCACATGAATGCTGATGTTCTTGGTTGTAATGGGTTGAATTTAATTACTTATTTATTCCTTTGTTGTTATCAGTACCCACTAGTGAATACCTACCTTAAGTAAATCTACTGCTTGTTCATCAATACATGGGAAAACACCAGCATTATGGCACAGATGTTTATGTATTATGCAGAGTTATTTTATCGACTTACAAAAGGCAATGCTAATGGCCATGCCATTCGATGTTCTATAAATAGTCATTTTTGAATGTGAAAATGTGAAGATGAGAGACAAAGAGAGCATATACTAGGCATCAAGCACTGTATTAGAAAAGTGAATGTTTTCTGTTCTGCTCTGTGGAGTAGGTAAAGCAGAAACAGTTGAGTGAGTAGATATCACAGGAAGTAAGATTTCTACATATAACAAAGAACTTTTTCACACAGTTAGAGCTGCCTTTGGGAATTCTGAATTTGCCAACATTGGACGCATTTACAAAGAAGCTACATTTGTTTTTCAGGTATGTTTTAAAGCAGTAGTTTTCAGATTATTTGCAAAATGAAACAATTCTTTCAAATGGAATATTACACAAAAATCCAATCTCTAATACTGAGAGAAACAATAGAACATAAATATAAATTTGTCTTATAATTAATATTAACAATAATTTACTTACTCGTAATTCAATTATTGGTTTGACGAGAGTCCTGATGTTGGTCTCCAGTATGTTAAAATCTGGGATTTAACATTTTTCAGTGTGTGTAGTGTTTGTCTTATTACATATATATATATTTTTTAATTGTGAAATTCTAATCAAGCATTTGAGTCACCTATGAAGTCCTGGAATATTGTTCTAATATCAGCGTTGCAGAAAGAAGTCCTGCCCTGTATTGAGTGGAAGAGGTAACAGGGAGATCTAGATTTGGCTCATCACTGCCAACTTTCTCTAACATTCTCGTCCCAAGCCTAGCTCTCAATGCGCAAACAGGCATACATGTACACGTGTGCACATACATACATGCACACTACTTAAGGCTGCCCTAGTTTGAAAGCTCTGATTCTGCTGATTAACTATTCATACATGAGAATTAAATTTAGAATGTTTTCATTTAGGGTAAATTTGCATGGAGGGAAATCTTGTTTTAATTATCTCAGCTGAAATTGGTTCACTTAAGATTGTAATATACCAGAAAATCATTATCAGGAATTTGTTTTATATAATTTTATGCCTCTTACAAATTTATAACTTCAGAAATCCATTTACTTTACAATGACTGTTTCAAGATGTGATATTGTAGTTGTAACAGAATCTGCATGAAGGAACTAAGACCACAGGGAAGGATTTAACTATTTTGATTTAATGATGTGACTAAAATTCATTTTTTAAAGTCTTAATAAAGAGATGCAGACTCTAATTGCTGATTAACACATTGTTTTTCTCTAAGCCCTTCACATGGAATATAATTTGAAGGTCGTGATAACCTCTCATCCACAGTTTTTCACTGCCTTTGCTTATATAGGTATTTTCTTCATGTTTTAGATGGGAAAGGGAACAGAGGTTTTGGATGACTAGATAATTTTCTGGTGAACGAGCACAATGGTCCATTTTATTCACAAATTAAACTTCAGAATATTATTGATTTGCTGGTCTCACATTTGATACTACTTTTCAAAAAATGATTTCATATTTTAAAAGACATGATCTAGTTTTACCATTATAACTCTGCAAAGTGGCATTATTTTTGTCATTTTAGAATTGAGATAATTGAATCTTCAAACTATAGCTGGGCCAAGAAGCTCAATCTGAGCTTACATCTAAGCCTCCTTTCACTGGCTCACTGTTGTCCCAGACTTACACCATTTGTTCATCATAAATGTGTACCAGATTCAATTCAAGGAAACTGAGGAAGCACAGTACCTGTAGACTTTCAGGAAGCCCTTTGAGCAGTCTTCTGTGTGCTACTAAAGGATATAGGTTGGGAGTTTATGACTGTTATGCATTTGTGGTGCTTTTTATTTTTAACTTGTGGGAGAGTTAATTCATGATTCAGAACCATCATATATGTACCCTTTCACATCAGAAATGTAGGGGACGCTTGGGGATAAAATGAAACAAATGAGAACTTGGAATGATATATACCAGTGGTCCTTAAACTGTGGTTCCCAGATCAGCAGCATCCACATCACAGGTAGCTTGTTAGAAGTACCTGTTCTTGGGCCCCATCCCAGATCTGCTAAACAGATACTCCTAAGGGTATGACCCCGCAATCTGTGATGTGACAAGTCTAATGATTTTGATGCAGGTGACAGTTTGACAAACATTGCTATAGAATTCTTAAGCTTCAAGGAGTATTTAGAAACTTATATTATTCCATAGAAAAATAAAAACTATAGAAGGATATAAATTCTCAGAGATAGTATACCTAATTGGTTTGTGAAGATTAGTTGAATAAGCAGTCTTTTGTATTTTTTCTCACAGAACGAACCTTTAGATCTCAATATACTCTTTGTTAAGCCAGAACTTTATATTTTCAGAACAGTTTTGCTCTGTGCTTGAACTATGATCACAAAAAAGTTTCTTTTTGCTTTTTCTTTCATGTTAAATTCCTTGTATCTCATGACTATAGAAGAAGAACTAAATTGGCATAGAACTTCATAAAAGAGAGCCCACAACATTAGAAAGATAGCAGGTCAGTTAAGATGAAATTGTCCTGGGCACATCAGGTCAGAATCAGATATCAACTGAAGTGGTGAAGGAGGCAGGGGAAAAGGTTAGAGTATTTCAAGTCATAATAGCAAGAATGTTCTGTAAAAAGTCAATAGATATCTATTGAGTGCATATTGTATGCCATACAATTTTCTAGGCACTTGAGATATTTATCAGTGGGAAAAAAAGACAAAGATCCCTGCTTGGATAGGTTATATTATATTCAGGGATACAGATGGTATGTGATGAACACTATAAATAGGTAAATTATAATATACATTAGAAATTGATAGCATTATGGAATAAATATTTAAAAAAAACAGAAAGGGAATGTGGTGCCAAGATCGTAAATAGCAATGTTATGGATAATGTGTAAAGTCACATGAGACAGGCCCTCTTTCAATAGAATAGATTTATTTAGCAACTTTTAGCAATGGTTGTATTTGTAGACTGTATGGTGGCTCTGTCTACATCCAGTACTCCCCAAACCTGATGGATTTTAATATCTGGGAAACTACAAAAAAAAAAGTTTAAATTTTATTTTAATGGAAATGGGGCTTTTATATAGAAGAGATTTTCAAAACCAACCAATCAAACAGTAACAACAAAAACAAAACTTGAACACACACCTAGGAAAGCACGTAAGTCGATAAAATGAGAAAAAAGGGTTAGGTACTGGGTAAGATTGAGCAATCGAGACCTAGTTCATTAATAAATTTTAGAGCCAGATGCCTCTTTTATGTAGCTTCTGGATCCTGCTGCCAAAGGTGGCTGTGTTTTAACAGGAAGCTTCTTCCCCCAACACACCCACATATACCAATTAATACTGATAAGTAATTTTGACAAAGGACTTCACGTTTTGCCTTTTTTTCTTCCCTTTCTCTGCTCATCCATTTCTACAGCAAACTGTGGAAATTAAACTTAATCTACTGATGTGTGATCCATTGTCTTTAGGAGATCGTAAATGTCCTCTAACAGGATTGAGTTGAGAGACATGAGGTGTCTTTCTAAGAAATTGGTCATAATAACACCCGATTGCCAATAATGCTGTTTTTATGGGAGGTGTTTTTTAATGGCATATGTTCAAGTATCCTACGAACTTTGGTGTGGATGTCTTGTAATAGTTTTGTGTAAGAGTTTTATTTTATTGAGATATAATTTGCATACCGTTAGAGGCTGAATTGTGTCTCCCAAAAAGGTATGTTAAAGTCCTAACCTGTAATACCTCTCAGAATATACCCTTATTTGACAATAAGTTTATTGCAGATGTAATTAGTTAAGATGAGGTTATACTGGAGCAAAGTTAATCCTTAATTCAATCTGATTAATAGCTTTATAAGAAAAGATAGAACCACACAGGCAAAAGGCTGCTATAAGTGACGACAGAGGAAGAGATTGGTGTATCGTGTCTACAAGCCAAGATTGAGAAGGATTGCTGGCAAACACTAGACGCTAGGCAGAAGGGGGGAAGGATTATTCTTTACATATTTTGGAGGGAGTATGGCCCTGCTTACTTTCTTGATTTTGGACCCCTAGCCTCCTGAACTGTGAGGCAATAAATTTCTGTTCTATTAAGGTGCCCATTTTATCATGTTTTGTTACATCAGCCCTAGGAAACGACTACACATACTAAAAATGCAACCATTTGAAGTGTATGATTTAATTATTTTTAGTAATTTACAGAGATGTGCAACCATCACCACAATCCAGTTTTAGATCACTTCCATTACCCCCCAAAAATCTTTCAGGTTGGTTTGCTGTCAATGCCCATTATACTCCACTGCTATCCCCACACATCAACTCATGTGCGTTCTGTCTAGAGATTTGCTTTTTCTGAATATTTCATATAAATAGAATTATAAAACATACAGTTTTTATTTGGTTTATTGAAATTAGCATATTGTTTTAGAGGTTCATCCATATCAGACTTTTATTTTGTTAATGTCAAATTAATTTTCCCCAAGACAATCTATGTATAGTGACAAACCCAGGGAAGTGCTTAATGTACTTTTTTGGCCAAAAAGAAAGTGTTCAATGAAAAGGTGAATTGTTGGCCAGGCACGGTGGCTCATGCCTGTAATCCCAGCATTTTGGGAGGCCGAGGCGGGTGGATCACCTGAGGTCAGGAGTTCAAGACAAGCTTGGGCAACACGGCGAAACCCTGTCTCTACTAAAAATACAAAAATTAGCAGGGTGTGATGGTGCATGCCTGTAGTCCCAGCTATTCGGGAGGCTGAGGCAGAATCGCTTGAACCCGGGAGGCGGAGGTTGGAGTGAGCCAAGATTATACCACTGCACTCCAGCCTGGGGTATAGAACGATACTCTGTCTCAAAAAAGAAACAAAAAGGTGAATTGTCTATTACATATGACTTAAAACTCTATTGATGGGGTAGTCAAGGAGATATTACTCCATGCCTTTCTTAATGTAGTGTTTCTAAAACCGGAGTGTGTTACAGAATCACTTGGAGGGCTTGTTAGAATACACACTGTGGACCCTCAGTCCCAGAGTTTCAGATTCAGTAGATCTGGGCTGGGACCCAAGAATTTACCTGAGTAACAAGTTCCCAGATTATGCTGCTGGTCCATGGAGCATCCTTTGAAAATGACTGTATTAATTGAAAGCCAATTTAGTAGTATTAGGCCTCTTTTATTTCTCATCTCTATCATTTCCTGCCTTCTTCTCAGTGTCTTATAAGTAGAAGAGATTAACCTAGAGTAGCTTCTAGTCCAAGTACATCTTTGAAAGCTGTATTTAAGTTTTGATAACTATCATCCATGCCTTCTGAAGAATATTGCATCTGCCAAGAGCTTTTGCTTTGCAGAATAAAATTTAAAAATCAATCAGCTTAATGTCATCTCTGTGGTGCATGCTTCTTAAGATCATAGTCACTTGTCCTATTTTAAGGGAGTCTCCAATCTACAAAGCTGAGAGTTGCCAGCAATGTTTTTTCTTCTTTTTTTCAACCAACAATTTAGTTTGAGTACCCAGTTGCCTAAATGCACAAGACTGTGCAAGTCTTCATTGACTCTATAATAAACAATGCTTTTTCTTTCTTAATTATTATTATTTTTGGAATCAAGACTTACCATTCACTTACCTTTGCTTGTATATGCTTCTTTCCCCTTTATATTTACCCCAACTGAAAGAACAACATGAATGCAATTGTCTCTTCTATTTGTTATGTTGTGTGTAGATTTGTTGCTATAGTGAGAGAAAAGATTTAAATTGAATAACATTAATTTAGGAAAGTTTTACAGACAGTACAGAACAGTGTTAGATCCAGGTTTTGTGAGATCTGAAGATTATATAAATGGAGAAAGAGGGAGTCAATTTTTAATTAAAAGAAGACAAAAAATTATATTTTATGCACAATACAAAATTTTATATTAAGTGAATATTTAGAAGAAAGGAATTATAAGAAATCAAACAAAAATAAAAGATCACAGAATTTGGAGGAATAGCTTTTATTTATTAACTGCCTGACACATCTGTATAATTCTTTTTGCCCTTAGTTTTTGGCTGTGTACTCTGGTGATATCTTCCTATGACACAGGTTTTTTAATATTTTTATGCATAAAATGGAAAGTAAATATTGTCTTTTCTCTATCTTGGTTGATTGAAATTTGCCTTTTATTATTGATAGTTCAGAAAAATTTCTTTCAACTTTACAGCTCATTATTGATAGTGTCATGCTAACGTACAATTTCCTGAGGTACAATAAAACATAAAATTTTACCCCATGACCTTCACGGTTCTTAATAGTGCTACTACAAGCTGAGGCCTTGAAAACACAAATTCTGATGAATATAATTTCATATAATTTCCATCAAGAAAGAATGTGTAATGCATTTATCATTGTATATATTGCATTGTTGAGTGTATTATGGACAGGAGAGAACTTGCTTTGGATTAGACTTCATTAAGGACAAAAGATTGCACTTAGAATTTTGTATCATGTCTTATGATTGAATGCTTTTTATACAAATGCACTTTAACTCCGTGTATTTGAAATACATTTTTTCACTCAATGCTACCCATAAACTTTTGGTGCCAGGCACAATGGGACATGTTTTTGTGATGATGCCATGATTTCTAGACTAGTACTTTTCATATCATGAGTCCATTGAGTATGAGTGTTCTAGGAAACCATTCCTAAACCAACAACACTACCAATAACTTAACTTTACACAAAAGTTATGGGGAGCAACAGAAATATATCTCACTGAAACAAAATCACAAATATTCCCAAGTCAAATCCCTTTTGCTTACCTTCCAAAAATGCCCACGGGTTCTCTAAAATCATCTGACACAAAGGGAAGTGTGGGTAAGAGGAAGTTGGAGTGGAAAAGGGAACATTCTTATGTAACTGCAGATAAATTATCTCACTTTTGAAAATTTTACAAAAGCACATGGCTATGTGATCATACTGCTGTGACTTTTCCTAGTTCTTTGTGTGAAGGCCATGGCTTAAGTATACATTGACTTTGTGGGAAGTCCACCTCTACCGCTGCTGTTCAAAAATAGATAGCATTTTTTTTTCAGATTGTTTGCTGTTGGTATATGTAAATGTTATTGATTTTTGTATGTTGATTTTGTGTCCTGCAACTTTACTGAATTTATCAATTCTGACAGTTTTTTGGTGGAGTCTATAGGTTTTTCTCAATATAAGGTCGTGTCGTTTGCATACAAGGCTAATTTGACTTCCAGAAGGAAAACAATTTCAATCTGGATGCCCGTTATTTCTTTCTCTTGCCTAATTGCTCTGGCCAGGACTTCCAATCTTATGTTAAATAAGAGTGGTGAAAGTGGACATCCTTGTCTTGTTCCAGAACTTGAAGGAAAGGCTTTCAAGTTTTTCATGTTCAGTACGATGTTGGCTGTGGGTTTGTCAACAGGCCTTTATTATGTTGAGGTATGTTCCTTCTATACCAAATTTGTTGCGGGTTTTTATCACAAAGGCATGTTGAATTTTATCTAATACTTTTCAGCATCAATTGAAATAATTATATGGTTTTCATTCTTGGTTCTGTTTATGTGGTGTGTCATATTCATTGATTTGCAAATGTTGAGCCATCCTTGGTATGAATCCCAGTTGATCCTAGTGAATGATGTTTTTAATGTTCTGCTGAATTTGGTTTGCTAGTATTTTGTTGAGGATTTTTGCTTCTATGTTCATCAATAATATTGGCCTGCAGTTTTCTTTTTTGTTGTTGTGTCCTTGTCTGGTTTTGGTATCAGGGTAATGCTGGCTTCATAAAATAAATTTGGAAGTATTCCCTCCTGTTCAATTTTTTTTAAAAAGAGTTTCAGTAGAATAGGTATTAGCTCTTTATTTTGGTAGAATTCAGCAGGGAAGCCACAGTTCCTGGGCTTTTCTTTGATGAGAGACTTTTATTACCCTTTCAGTCTTGTTATTTATTATTAGTTTGTTGAAATTTTCTATTTCTTCATATTCTGTCTTGGTAGAATTTACGTCTAGGAATTTATTCATTTTCTTCTCAGTTTTCAAATTTGTTGGCATATATTGTTCATAGTAGTCTCTAATGATTCTTTGTATTTCTATGATCTCAGTTCTTATGTCTCTTATTTTCATTTTTTATTTTATTTGGGTCTTTTTTTCTTAGTCTAGCTGTAAGTTTGTTGATTTTTGTTTATCTTTTCAAAAAAACTACATTTGTTTTGTTTTTTTTTTCCTGCAATTTTTAAGTCTCAGTTTCATTTATTTCTGCTCTGATCTTTATTACTTTTTTTCCTTCTCCGAGTTTTCTGTTTGACTTTTTCTTGCTTTAATGGGTTCCTTGAGGTTCATTTTTAGGTTATTTATTTGAAATCTTTCTACTTTTTTGATGTCTGTGTTTATTGTTATAAACTTCCCTCTCAGTACTACTTTTACTGTATCCCACAGATTTTGATGTATTGTTTTTCCATTTTCATTTGTTTCCAGAAATTTTAAAATTTTCTTTTGAAATCCTCTTATTTACAGCAAAGTTGATGAAACTTGAGGTCATTATTTTAAGTGAATAAGTGAATAAGTCAAACACAGAACATATTATATGTTCTCATTTATATGTTGGAGCTAAAAAACTAGATTTCGTGAAGATAGAGAGTAGATTGGTAGCTACCAGAGGCTAGGAAGGAGAGGAAGAGAGGAATTGAAAAGAGGTTAATGGGTATAAATATACAGTTAGATAGAAGAAATAAGACGTGGTGTTTGATAGGTCAGTAGAGTCACTATTATTAATACTACTCTAGTGTACATTTCAAAATGGCTTGAAGAAAATAATTCAAATGTTCCTAGCATAGAGAAAAGATAAATATTGAAGGTGATGGATATGCCAATTATCCTAATTTGATTCTAGTAGTGTATCACATTTTTACATGTACCCTGAAAATATTGACATCTGTTATGTACCAATAAAAAATAATAAAATAAATTTTAAAAATAGCTCAGAAATATAATATAGGAAAAGAAGAAGAAGGAGGAGAAAAAGGAGGAGGAGAAGGTGGAAGAGGAGGAAGAGGTGCAGTAGTACAAGATTTTTTTCAGATGGGAGAAATTATGTGTGTGAACTATGAGAGGAGGGTTAATTCTTCTTCATTTTATAAAGTTGTCCTGACTAGACTTGAAATTACAATCAGAGATACAGGGCTTTCTGTGATTTGTATTTTGCTGGGATTTTAAAGTATAATTTGGGAGGGATAGATGAGAAAGGAGACTTGATTAAGATGCTTGAAGTCTACAATTAAATTTCATATGATTTTCAGAAGCAATTTTAAATTGTTTAGGACTCATAAGACGAGATATGTCATGATTAGCATGGTGACTCACAAAGACGATTCTCATCTTTGTTGGTAATAGATTGGAAGTAAATGATGGAGCCCCTCACTGTGTGTGGCTCCCTCCTTACATGCTTTCCAGTTTTCCATTATCCATAGACCCCTAAAAAGCTTTGCCCAAAAATACACTTTTCAAAAAGTGCCCATTTTCTTAGGCTATCAAAATATTGTAGAAAATTCAGAAGTAAAATGTACTCTGCTTATTTCTCATTCCTTGTATGTCCCAGTCACTTCAGGCTGCTATAACAAAGTACCATAGACTGGGTGGTCTGTAAACAACAGTCATTTATCTCTCACAATTCAGGAGGCTGGTGCAAGTCCAAGATCAAGGCGCATGCAGATTCAAAGTCTGATGAGGGCCTGCTTCATGGTTCATGGGCCATCTTCTCACTGTGACCTCACCTGGTGGAAAGAGCAAAATAACTCTCTTGGGGTCTCTTTTATGAGGGTACTAATCTCATTCATGAGGGCTCATGACCTATTCATCTTCCAAAAGCCCTACCAATGAATACCATGACATTGAAGGTTAGGATTTTACATATGAGTTATAGGGGGAAACAAACATTTAGTTTATAACATGTATTATATAACCTACAGATTTGTATTTAAAAACCTTTTATCACTCTGAAGGAGCACATGCAGTCACCCCGAAGACTACATTATACACATAGCAGGTGTCCTAATATTGTCATTAACTATTTGTCTCTCTTTTTTCTTTATAACCTTTTATTCATGTAACAGATACTTATTGAGCACCTATTATGTGCCACGTGCTATGGATACATCTGTGAAGTAAAACACATAAAAATAGGTGTCTTTATGGGGCTTATATTTTAGCACATTTTACTCCTGAGAACAAACAAAACATGGCCATTTTAATCTTGGTTAGATAGCATTATCTGACTTAGCATTTATCTGACTTCAAAATTAGTTTATCCTTGGAATATAATTTTTCCTTTATAATTAAATGTAAATCATATTTAATCTCCTATTCATGGTCAAGTCAGAGGAGTTCTAAGTTACAACAATAATCTGCATTTTAATAAATATCATTCCAGCCAGCATCTATTGCATAACATGAAAATCGCATTTTTACAAAATGTATTGTTCTGAATGTATAGCTTACCATATAATTAAATATAAAAGTGTTTTTTTTAATTACTTAAAGGAGCAAAAGGATTTGTCACATTAAAAGTATGGAGTTTTCTGATGAGGAAAATAGGCGATTTTGAGCCATTATAATTGCTTTTTAAATTGTATTTCTAAAATATAACCGCTTTTTAAAGTTTTCACTTCTAAAAGACATTTTGCAAGACACTAAAGGTCACTCATTGTAAAAACTAAAAAGGCTGACTCTCAAATCTACATGTGAATGTCATGCTTCATATCAATGTCAATATTCAGCATCTAACTTTCAGAAAGGCAGAGAGAATGCTGTATCATTATGTATTGAGAATAGCCCAATATCTGCTAGTTATCTATCTTTCTTTCCTCATATTGTTGCTACACCTTTCAACAGATAAGAACACTGAAATCAGAAAAACACTTCTGTAAACTTAGAATTAGAGCCCCAAATAATTTTATTAACAAAACCAACAGATATATAATATTATCTAAAATAAAATCTCCGCCAGGTATTGTGGCTCATGCCCTAATCCCAACACTTTGAGAGGCCAAGGCAGGTAGATTGCTTGAGTACAGGAGTTTGAGACCAGCTTGAGAAACATGGTGAAAACCCATCTCTACAAAAATACAAAAATGAGCTATGCATGGTGGTGCACTCCTGTAGTCTTAGCTACTCGGGAGGCTGAGGTGGGAGAATCGCTTGAGCTAGGGAGGAGATCGCAGTGAGCGAAGATTGCGCTGCTGCACTCCAGCCTGGGCAACAGAGAGAGACCCTGTCTCAAAAGAAAAAAAGAAAATCTCAGTTGTAAGGCAGCAATACAAAACTTAGTTATATTAAATCTATCTGTTGTGGAGAGCCACGACAATTGTATTCCTAACTTCTCCTTTGCTCTCTAGAAGCCTGAGGGAAAGATGTTCTTGAGTATCATGATTTCTTTTTCTTTGAAGCAAATAGGCATATCAATTCTAGAAGAGAGGCATGGTATCATGAAATTGTTGCTGAAAACCACCCTGATGGGTGTTTTTACATAAGATATCAGGGGTTGTTAAGAGCTTAATGCTATACTGAGATTAAAGAAGTTCCTCTGGGTATGCAGAGAGAGACGGTTCACATGAGAAGCTTTTGGATTATCTGGTGGTCCAGAATCAACAAAACTTAAAAACTAAATTTTTTGAAGGGGAATAAATAATTAGCAATATCCCTTAGAAGAACTCTCCTTGTTATTTTTAGTTTTAAATAACAATATAAGTGAAAATCTTTTGCCAACAATAAAATTCTATGCAGATATTAATGATCACTATTCCTCTTGATGCCATGTTTGGTTAGGTTTTTAGTTAGAGATTGAAGTTGTAGAAGAGGACAGAGAGCCTATGTCATGGAGTAAAAATTGGAAGAAAGAAAAAGCTGTATGCTCTGGAACAGTGTTTCCCAAATGTTTAGATGTAAATGACCAAGATAAGTCAATTTCAAAATCTGGAAACTGGCATAGTGCCACCTATTCTTCAAAATTTTGTTAAGCAAATTAAAAGGCTACAATGTAGATTATTAACCCCATTTCATAGGAAGAACATAATCTATGATCTAGATTATTAAAAGGCTACAATGTAGATTATTAACCCCATTTCATAGGAGGGACATAATCTCAGATGAAAGAACAGACCTTTAGATTGAACATATTTAGCTTGATAAGGTACTCTTTATCTTTATTTTTCTATTTTGCTAAGGCAACTTGGTACTTGGGGATGGATTGAGAATGCTGGTATTTGGGAATCTCCACTGTAACTCCCAGCCTCTGTTAGATTGGAGTAGCTTCTTACCAGGTTGTGTTTACCTTAGTACAGAATTGCATTTCTATGACTGTCAGGCAGGTGGACTGTCAAACGTGCTAGGAAAAGCGAAGTGAAACCTGTCGTTAAGCCTTAAGGGTAGCCAATGCACTTTCCAGAGAAGGCCCCAAGCTTATACCTAGAGACAGTTGTGCAGTTTTCCTTGGAAAGTATTTCAGAATCCGTGTAGATGTTCAAAAAATAATGCAGAGTTCTTCCCCATAAAACATGAGATATCAGAGTGTTCTTAAAACACAGAGGTAAAAGGCTCTAACACAGTCTCACCTTAACAGGTGATTTACTTTATTGATCAGTGAAGAGCACCCCAGATAGCTAAATGAGATGGCTGAATCTTAAGAAACTGATAGGAGTGTCCCACTGAATGACAGAGTATTCTTGACCCCAAATAAAGGTTGTGTTGCTGTTATTCAGTTGAGTTTTAGAACACAGGTATTCATTACCTAAGTGACAAATGCATGCTACCATCTCTCAGCATTTAGTCGTCTCCTTTTCTCCCTCCTAAGAGTCAACCTTCTGTATCTCTTCCCTTCTTATTGGTTCTGAATTTGTTTTAAAAGTAATGCACATTGTGTGTGTGTGTGTGCGCGCGCGCGTGCGTATGTGTGTGTATGACAAACCTGCCTTACTAATTGAAGATACCTCTTTTATTTTATTTTTTTTCTTTGAGACAGAGTTTCATTTTTGTTTCCCATGCTGGAGTGCAGTGGCGCGATATCGGCTCACCGCAACCTCCGCCTCCCAGGTTCAAGGGATTCTCCTGACTCAGCCTCCTGAGTAGTTGGGTACAGGCGCCTGCCACCACACCCAGCTGATTTTTATATTTTTAGTAGAGATGGAGTTCCACCATGTTGGCCAAGCTGGTCTCAAGCTCCTGACCTCAGGTGATCCACCGCCTCTGTCTCCCAAAGTGCTGGGATTACATGCGTGAACCACCACGCCTGGCCCCCTCTTTTTAATACTATGAATATTCTTGTAGTAGTTAGAAGCTAAGAAAGTATATTATATACGGACTAATAGAGAGAACAAATTCATGTGCCTTGTCAAGTAGCAAACCCCGTAGTGAGAAATTTAGAACTGATAGGGCAGTTTTGACATCCTAATCCTTTGGTCTCTGTATCTTCATCCCTCAACCACTGGAAAGAGAGAAAAGAGCCAGAGAAAACCTCCTACTCATTTCACATGTAAAATCAGGAGTGGTTCATACTCCGTGTACCTACATCTTAGCTACATGGCCGCATAAAGTTGGAAATAGGTCTGGGAAATGTATTTCCCACCTGAGCAAGCATGTGCCTCAGTGAAATTCAGGAGTTCTATTAGGAAAGGGAATAATGAATATTGGTGGACCAACAATAGCCTCTCATCTTTCTTCTCAAGAGTCAAGTACTTATTCCCATGGATCATTCTGAGATAACAGCATCGAAGAAACATAGATCAAAGAGGGTGGTGTGCTGTGAGGGTGGAAATATTTTGGGGTGGGTGACTAATAACTTTATTTTTAATGCTGTGATTTTAAATGGGAATGCTACTCTATATTGTAAAAGCTCAAAGTCTTCATCAGGTATCTTTGGGGGGGTCCCAGAGACCATTTTCAGGGTCTTGTGAGCTCAAAGTGGTATTTGTAATAATTCTAGGACATCGTTGGCTTTTTCTCAGTCTCATTCTCTCATGAATGTGCAGTGTGCTACATCAGCTCTTTGAAGGATAATGGAATGTGTGTCTGTGTATGCATCTGTTTAAACACTTCTCAGTGGTAATTTCTAATATGATAAGTAGTTTTATAGATATAGCCCACATAAAGAAAAGCTCTTGGGGTCCTTGATAATTTTTAAGAGTATAAAGAGATCCAATAATCAAAAAGCTTGAAAATGGTTATTCTAAAGTATAATGCACGTTACCATGTTACCTTCTGAAAGTTTTTTTTTTTTTTTTTTTTTTTTGAGACAGGGTCTCTCTGTTCCCCAGGCTGGAGTGCATTAGTGTGATCTCAGCTTACTGCAACCTCCACCTCCTGGGCTCAAACAATCCTCTAACCTTAGTCTCCAAAGTAGCTGGGCCTATAGGCATGCACCACCATGTTCAGCGAATTTTTTTATTTTTTTGTAGATACTGGGTTTCACCACATTGCCCAGACTAGTCTTGAACTCCTGGACTCAAGGGATCTGCTCACTTTGGCCTCCCAAATTGATGGGATTACAGGCATGAGCCACTGTACCCGGCCACCTTATAAACTTTAAAATCCAACCTATTTCTTTAACAAGTCATTTGATTAAAGACATTTTTAAAAATTTATGAAAATATTTTTTAGCTCAGGGTTTAGCATCCAAATGCTGGTTCGTGCTGCTAGGAAAACATTTTCTTGTTGTGACAACCGATATGTGATGTAGTTTTTCAGTAGCACTTTTTAGTATTTTTAGGGGTGCTCAAAATCAAATCACGAACAGAAATTGACAATTGCTTTTCAGCTTTTCTCCTTTTATGAAAAACAATCTCTTTTTCTCAGGAAAGTTAAAGGTTTACAGAAGAGTTTGGGTTATTAATGTTTCCTCATTCTACCTGGTATATGTTAAAACACACACACACACATGCACAATTTGAAATTCTATAATAACAGTTAATATTGGAATTTTTCAGAATTTTCTCAGCATTCAGCTAGAGTCTTTTCATTTTGACCTACCATTTCAGTAGATCAACAGTGTTTTAAATGCTGACATTACATCACTAAGTGCTGAGATGTTTGAGAACTGTTTGCCCTCTTAGAAACCTAATAATAAAGTAAACTTTGATTTTAGCTTTTACACTTCTAGCATTTTCATACCTTAATAATTTTGGTCTTCTTCAGTAATTAATCTTAAAAGAAATTTTGAAGGCCTTGAATTAAGAAACATATGTGCATCCATTACCTTACAAGACTTTTGAGGGGGCACTTCTAAATTATTTTTTTATTTCTCTAAATTAGAGGACAGAAGTAAATTTAAGACAGGCACTGGACATTCAGTGGAGAGTAAATGTCAGCCAATGCACACTAGGCCTAAACTGCATCAACAGCTCATTTTAAAATGAAGATATGGCTATGTTATTTGTTATAGGAAAATAAGGAATTTCTCTTGCTACTGTACCAGAATCTTAGAGCAGGCACTGTCTAGGATGAATATTTTTGTCTTCAGTTTTCCTTATTTTTTACTGTCAGTTTCTTTTTTTTTTAACTTGTAAGTTCAAGGATACATGTGCAGGTTTGTTACATAGGTAAACTTGTATCATGGGGGTTTGTTGTACAGATTATTCCATCACCCAGGTATTAAGCCTGGTACCCATTAGTTATTTTTCCTGATCCTCTCCTTCCTGATCTTTACCCTCCAAAAGGCCCAAGTGTGTGTTGCTCCCCTCTATGTGTCCATGTGTTCTCATCATTTAGCTCCCACTTATAAGAGAGAAGAAACACTATTTGGTTTACTGTCCCTGTGTTAGTTTGCTAAAGATAATGGCCTCCAGCTCCATCCATATCCCTGCAAAGGACATGATCTCATTCATTTTATGGCTGCATAGTATTCCATGGTGTATATGTACCACATTTTCTTTATCCAGTCTATCATTGATGGGCATTTAGGCTGATTCCATATCTTTGCTATTGTGTAGTGCTGCAATGAACATACACATGTGGAACAGAACAGAGAACCTGGAAATAAGACCACACACCCAAAACTATTTGCTCTTTGACAAACCTGACAAAAACAAGCAATAGAGAAAGTACTTCCTGTTCAAAAAATGGTGCTGGGATAACTGGCTAGCCATATGCAGAAGATTGAAACTGGACCCCTTCCTTACACCATATGCAATAAGTAATTCAAGGTAGATTAAAGACCTAAATGTAAAACCTCAAACTGTATAAAAACCCTGGGAGACAACCTATACAATACCTGTCAGTTTTATCAAATTACAGTAATTTCCAGGCTGCAAGACTAAAAACGTTTTGAAATTGCCAAGACCTTATCACAATACAAGACTAGTTTCATAGTTTATATGTCACACAGAAATGTTCTATACTATGATGTTACAGCTTAGCTTCATTCTTACCAAATTTACTAGTACTGGTTATTGGGGATTCTGTGAAATAGACATATATTCGTGTATATGTTTCATGGTGAAATGTTTCAGGGTTTGGATATGTAATGTTATTTAATGTGTTTTTCATTATGTGATCAGCATTACATGGGGCACTTGAGACAGAATCAGTCTCATAGTCTAAGGACCTGGTTTTTAGCCTGTATCCCTAGTAGGAGGTTGCATGTACTTAGACAAGTGATTTAAATTGCTTGCACTGCAACTTTCTTATCTTTGACATATGAGATGTGCAATTTTGGGCAAGTCACTATCCTCTCTGGGCCTTCGTTTTTTGTCATCTGTAAAATAGGGATATAATATTACTTATTATATAATATTTTATTATTTAGGGATATTATTTACCCCTAATAAAGTAGAGACATAATATTACTTATTATAGGATTGTTGGAAGTTATGAGAGTTAATGTCTCTAAACTGCATAGAGCAATGCCAGGCACATATACACTATAAGCATGTTACCCGCTATTACCATCTGTAAAATGAGGTAGTTCTCTGGATCAGTTCTGAAACTTCTTCTAGCTTTTATATCTTTATTTAATTGAAGGATTAAAAAGACAAACTCATAGTTTCATATTTTTGGTGGGAAATCACATCAATTTGTTAGCTTGGCCCAAATATGATTGTTATGGTTCATGTTGTTGCTTGCAGGGTCCACCAGGTGTCACAGACCTGTCCTGCACAGAGGAGGCACCTTCCCCTTGCTCTCTGACCACAAAATGCTCCTTTTTTCAGGTTCATGGGAAGATTTTTAGGCAAAAATTCCGTGGAGTCCTGCTCTCAGTACTCGACTTGACTGTCTTACAAGCCTCTTGTTGCCTCAAGCCCAAGGAAGTAACCTCAGGCTGAAAGGCTTTCTAGGGCTCTTTAACCTCAGAGTGGACACAAACTCAGATGTCCATCAAACAGCTAAGTCCAAGCTTTAAATACTTTACACAGCTGATTAGGAGTTTAGGGAACACATAATGCGTTTCGAAATTTAAAATTGGTGCAAGGTAAGAATTAATGAACTCTCATCAGAAGTTTTTCTCCCAGGAGCTCTCTCCAGCCTACAGTCCACCATAACCTGGAAAGTATGGCTTTCCACAAGTGAACTTCTTTTAGCCTCCCTCCCATACTGGGATTTCAGAACCCCTTCTAAAGTCAATGAGGTAGGAAAGAGGCAGCTGTCCCTAACACCTCCAGAAAACTGAGATGAAGAAGATGAGTCTCCAACTACAGCCTAGAGATTGTTTCACATTATGGTATGGAGTCATTGACCACTTCTTCGTTTTCAGTCTGTAGGTTTCAGAAAAGAATATTTGCTTTAGTTTTGTGTATTAAGAGGCTACTTGAAGTATGTGTGTGCGTATGTTTAAAAAAATTACAAACTTGCATTAAGGGAAAATTCAAGTTCCCATCTCCAAATAAAATTTGAAAACAAACAAACAAAAACAAAATAAAAATGTAAGGCAGCTTTTAAAACAAGAGTGGCTATTAAGTGTGTGTGTGTGTGTGTGTGTGTGTGTGTGTGTATTTGATTATTTACTTTTATTTACATTTACTTTACCACATTCCATTAAAAATTTTGCCCTAATTCATAGATTTTGCTTATATAAACCTACCTTCCTGTATTGGCTGTTCTTGCATAGCTATGAAGAAATAACTAAGGCTGGGTAATTTATGAAAAAAAGAGATTTAATTGACTTACAGTTCTGCAGGCTTTACAGGAAGCATGGTGCTGGCATCTGTTTTGGCTTCTGTGGAGACCTCAGTAATCTTATAATCATGGTGGAGCAGGCATATCACATGGCCAGAGCAATGCCACACACTTTTAAATGACCAGATTTCATGGGCACTCACTATCATGCGGACAGCACCAAACCACTAGGAATCTGCCCCCATGACCCAAACACCAGGCCCCACCTCCAACATTGGAGATTACATTTCAACATGAGATTTGGTGGAGGGACAAGTATCCAAAGTATATCACCTCCCATCATAGATTGTGAAGGTTGCCTTTCATTCTTATTTTGCCTTGTTTGTGATTTAATAACCAGAAGCCTTCTGTACCTGTTTCGGGGGAAGAGTGCTACAGGGGGTTAGGGTGTGGTGGATATACCTCAGGAAGACATTAAGATACTATAGCTCCCTTATAAAATCAAAACCCTTAAAATACAAACTCCTGCCAAGTAGTTTGTTCCCTCTTGTTAATTTTCATTTTGAAATAGTTTTAAATTTACAGAAAGTTGGAAAAAGAGTACAAGGAGCTCCTTTATACCCTTAATCTAGATTCCCTAATAGTTAACATTTTATTACCTTTGCTTTTTTCTGAAGCTTATTCTTTTTAAGAAGGAGTTGCAGACATGATGCCCATTACCTTTTCATTTTTCCCCAACATTTTCTCAAAAAAAATTTTCAAACATACAAAAACATTGAAAGAATTTTGCACTGAGTACCTCTAAACCCACTACCTAAATTTACCATTAACATTTTACTGTATATCTTTCATTAATTCAATTATCTATGTATCCATCCATTAACTCTTCCCATTAATTTTAAACAATTTTATTGATAAACCAATTTACTTGCTATAAAATTCATCCATTAAATAATTTTAATCCATGCTCAAATCACAGGAAATCATTGTACGTTTTGGTAAATTTTAATGAAGCAGCGCATTTCTGGGGATCAATTCCTCTTATCTTGTCAAAGGGGACTGATCTCAGCTAGATGCCTTAGGTTATATTGTAGCACCTGCTGTCCAGTGACTAAAGTCTGGGAAAATCACATAACCTCTGTAAATGTCAGTTTTTAGAAATATGAAATGAGGCCATTTGACCCTTTGATTAGTAAATGCATTTATTGTGACCCTAAAATCAAGAAATTCTAAACTTTAGGATTCCTGTTTCTGGTTATTCCATGGAGAGCTGTATTACACCTTTTGTTTGCTTTGCTCAAAATTAATCCTGATGACATCATGTGGAGTAAGTTAGCCTGAGCATTTAAGGGGATAAAACACTTATGCCTTAAGGACTCTTTGAGAGCAAATCATTTATACATAGCATTTGCAGTATTCTTCTGTGAAATGGAATCTTGCTGTTACTAATGCAGAAGCCTGCTGGTAACTGCTCAGACTGTACATATTAGCCAGCTGGTGGCTGAATCCTGACTATTGAGCTGCCTAGAATTGAAATAATTAATTTTCCTGGAGAAAGTATATTGTGTTGTAGTTTTTTGGATTTGTGACTATAATCTGTAATCACCAGGGAATTTATTTAGATTTGCAATTATGCTAGAGTTTGTAATTTATAGTAAAGAGATAGGAGTTTGCTAAATAGGAGGCATGGAGCTGTGAGTTTTCCATTAATAGTTTTGTGAACCTTGTGTAATACCCAAGGTGTTAGTAGGGAACTATTAGCTAAATAGTCAGTTCATGTTCGTCTTATCTAATGAATGCAGAACTTAACATGTTCACCTAGAGAGTTTCCCATTTATTTTAAATATGGTTCTCTTTTGCATGTAAAAAGAGTGTTGCTACAAAATCTTATATTTTAAAGAAGTATAACTACAAATAATAGCTTTCTATTGTTTTAAAATAGATATTCTAGTAATATAATTCTTATTGTGCCTGAAAAGTACCATTTCTTCACTTATATGCTATATCTTGAATGAAAGAATGTGTGAATTGATTCTTTAAAATTATATATTTCTTTTCGATAACAATAAGTTTTTTAAAAAAAGCATATTTATACTAATACTTACTAAATATTTTCAAGAGATATGCATATACAATTATGTCAGTTACTTATTGATAAGCCCAGAAAGTAGGTATGACTGATAGAAAGTCATAAAAGTTACCAGGAAGCCTTTATCTTCTTTGTTAAATATAGCTTTCTTTAAACTTTGTAAGCCTTTAACAAACTTGTGGTTACAATTCTTCAGAATTGTATCATTTATAACATTCAATTTTTCATGAAACGCTGATGCTTACATGACCGACAGTTACTGTTTTTTAAAAAGGACGAGCTAGTGGGTGCAGCGCACCAGCATGGCACATGTATACATATGTAACTAACCTGCACAATGTGCACATGTACCCTAAAACTTAAAGTATAATAATAAAAAAAAAAGGATTTGGGACATAAAAATAAAATGGGAATTACTCTGTCATAGGGAAAATGCAAGTTCTCTACAAAAGCAATCAATTCAGATAAAATGTAACTGAAATATTTCTGATCTTTCTCAGTCATCTGAAAATAAATATGAAACAATTTTCTAATAAAGCAAAAGAAAAAAAAAAAAGGAAATCACCTTTCGGGTGCGGTGGCTCATGTCTGTAATCCCAGCACTTCGGGAGGCCGAGGTGGGCGGATCATGAGGTCAGGATATCGAGCCCATCCTGGCTAACAAGGTGAAACCCCGTCTCTACTAAAAATACAAAAAAATTAGCCGGGCATGGTGGCGGACGCCTGTAGTCCCAGCTACTCGGGAGGCTGAGGCAGGAGAGTGGCGTGAACCCGGGAGGTGGAGCTTGCAGTGAATCGAGATCGCGCCACTGCACTCCAGCCTGGGCGACAGAGCGAGACTCCGTCTCAAAGGAAAAAAAAAAAAAAAAAGGAAATCATCTTGTTTCGTATCAATATTGTAGGATAAAATGTGTAACTTTTGCATTCCATAATGACTATAGTCTGATGATTTTATATTCTTGGGGTTTCACATTAACAGCTGTTTAATCTGAATGTTTGTTTCAGTATGTTTCAGAAGTCAGAATTTGTTTATAATCTTAGAAAGTTAATTCAGGACCTGTACTGTATGTAATACAACATCCCCAGCAGGATCAAGCTATCATATTCATATTTCTGCAATAAAACATAGAGATATTTCCTCTATATGAGATCAAAAAAGACTATGAGTAACTTCCCATCAGTTTGGAAGTTAGTTATCAGTTAATAAAGTTTGGATTAATACAAGTTTTTGGTTTTCAGAACTTTTGAATTTTAGAATTGTAGATAAAGAATTGAGGACTAAATATGGGCCAATTATTTCATATTGTATTTTGGGTTGAGTTCTACAAAGCCTCTTCAAATGAGCTATTTAAATTAAGGATATATTCTTTGAACATCAAAAGTTAAATATAAGGAAGCAGTATATTTTTAAAGGATTTTACATATATGTGTTTCTGATGAATGTATTAACTGCATTCAGTTAAAGTAAGTGAAAATAAGAGTAATCTGCAGCTCTGTTTAATATATTTGAGTCTTTACCTTAATTTTTTCTTTTTCTAAAATTAATTGAATTCAAAATATCTGGAAATTCCTGCAAGTTGTTTTTTTGAACTGGAGTGTTGCTCTGTCAACCGGGCTGGAGTGCAGTGGCACGATCTTAGCTCACTGAAACCTCTGCCTCCTGGGTTCAAGCGATTCTTGTGCTTTAGCCTCCTGAGTAGCTGGGATTACAGGCGTGCGCCCCCATGCCTGGCTATATATGTAAAATATATATATATATAAACATATCAATATATATTAATATATAAATATAAATATATAAATATATATATATTTAGTAGAGACGGGGTTTCACCGTGTTGGCCAGGGTGGTCTCAATCTTCTGACCTAGTGATCCACCCACCTCAGCCTCCCAAAGTGCTGGGATTACAGGTGTAGCCACCACACCCGGCCCTCTCCAAGTTTTTAAATAAATTTTGGTTGTTCATAAGTTGAAAAATAGTAGTATTGCAAATGAGTATTATTATTGCTAAAAATAAATCTTTGATTCCTTTTTCTCATGGAGAATTTTACCTGAGATAATTTCAAACTAAATGCCTATTAAACTAAAGAAACATAGAGAAATATATAACAAATTTGGGACCAGAAATTCATATTTAGTAATTGTTATAAGGAAAAATTAGATAGTTCTTCATAAATAGAACCGTTGATTATTTGAAGTCAAATATTGTTCCAGGAGATGTGATAAACTAAGAATATAAAAATACCTCCTACGAAATGCTTATTAAAGAATAATTAAAGTTTAAATTCTAATACAAAACAGACTTTTGGAAACCCTTGATTTGAAGATAATTCAGATAAGGTCAAATAAATGATATTAAAAAATCATTTTATTTATTTAATTTTTAAAAGAAGTGGATAACAATGTAAAAGATCTTGGAGTTGGTTCTTAGTTTATAAAATAAATGAGATAATCTTTGAGACATGGATACATAAATGCCCGCTAAATTTTCTTTGAGAACATTTGAAAAAATGACTGTATTTTAATATATCATAGTTAAAATCAGAAATAGTTAAACATTTTAGTTTATGTGTAAATTTGGTGGCAAATTTGATTATTTTTAATTGATGAATATGTCCTGCATTTTGTATTTTGTATTTTTATTGATTTACGAAAATGGAAGCTAATCTGAAACAAATAAGTTTAAAAAATGCATCCAGAATCCAGAATACACAGCAGATATTTGTGGATAGATATATGAATGAATATTGTTAAGTGACCTTCTGCGTAATATTGGGATCATGATGTCACTGCATAAACTTACTTTATTTCCTGCAAAACTAACAGTTCAAGCTTCAATTATTTGTTGAATGTAAGTTATTCATACTGTAATTGAAGGAAAAGATTTAAAAATTTTAAATCCAGATTTTCAGAGTTCTCTTTAAATAATAAACTAGATCTAGTTTGATAAAAGTGCATGTGTATTGAACACTAAAATAATTGTATTTCATTGCTTATTTCTGGAAACATTGAGCTATATTCTGCTAGGTAAAAATATCCAATTATTCATTGTATCTATTGAATACTCTTTGAACTCAAAATTATACTTATTGAAATTTATCTTGCAGATATACAAGTGATATTTATTATGGCCATGTTAAAAATATCAAAATATCTTAAATCATATAATGATCATCTTTTGGAAGATTGTCAAATTATATTACATGTATGCAGTGGAATTCAATATAGCTATAAAAATATAAGAAAGATTTCTCTGTACTGAAATATTTGTTATTGTTATTTTGGGAGTATGCTGAAATGTTATGTGAAAAAAAGCTGGGTGCAGAAAAATATGTATATTAGGCTACCATTCATATAAATAGGGACAGTGGAAAATATATATGGGTTTGTATGTATGTGTTCACATCTGTATTGGCTTTTATATATAAGAAATTGCTCTAAAAAGGGAAAATAACAAATTACAATGTTTACCTATTGGAGAGGATGGGAGCTTAGAGGTAAGCAGGATACTTTTTTCTATATATGACTTTATTTTATTTTTTTTTTTACTTTTTATTTTTAGCTTTTAAGTTCAGGGGTACAAGTGCAGGTTTGTTACATAACTAAACTTCTGTTATGGGGGTTTGTTGTACAGATTATTTCGTCACCCAGGTATTAAGCTTAGTACCCATTAGTTATTTTTCCTGATCCTCTTCCTCCTCCCACCCTTTATTCTATGAAAGGCCCCAGTGTGTGTTGTTCCCCTCTATGTGTCCATATGTCCTCATCATTTAGCTCCCACTTATAAGTGAGTTATACCATTTTATACTTTTTGATGTATATCATATAATAGTATAACTCATTTTTATATTTAACATCTTTAAAAGTACTGTGACTGATTTTTCCCACTTATTCATTCAAGATATTAATCATCTGAAACCCACCTACACTGTGTCTCTACGCTTATGCAGGCTCTAAGATCAGAGACCTAAGGAGAATAGGTTATGCTCTCCTGCTAAAAGAGGGAAAGATCAATGTCTCAGTTATTTCAGGTTGCCATAACAAAATGCCATAATTTGGGTAGTATATAAATACCAGAAGTTTATTTTTTGTGGTTCTAGAAGCTGGCAAGTCCAATATCAAGGCACTAGCAGATTCAGTGTCTGCTTAATATGCACATTCTGGTTCATGGAGTGACACTGTCTCCCTATAGCCTCACAAGTTGGAAGGGGCAAACTAGATCCCTTGGGCCTGTTTTAGAAGTGCACTTATTCTATTCATGAGGGCTCCAACCTCATGGCCTAATCATCTTCCAAAATACACCACCTTCAAATACCATCACATTGGTGATTGGTTTTTGACATACGAATTTGGGGATAGGGAATACAAACATTCAGACCATAGCAACCAATAGGGCCTTGTTTTTTAATCAAGCAAGAAGTGGTGAATTAATATATTGCATAGTTTTGACATTCTTTTTCTATGTAGTTTGCTAGGAGTCTCTTTAGATTTAGAATCTGCATAAGAGAAAGACAGGGAATCTTTTTAAATTTATATTATAGATATTAAACCTGATAGTTAAATTTGTATTTTTACATGTATATTAGGGGATTTCATTAAGTTGGATAAGCTAAGAAAAAACTAACAAAAAGGTTTAAAATATTAGAGCATTATATGAATTACAATTTTTAAAAATGCTTATATGCCCAATCCTATGTGGTGAATTGATCAAGTACTTGAAATATTTAGAGATGGTTGATTAAGATGCAAGTTTTATCGCTTGTTGGCCATTTGACGTTAATCACTTTAAATAAAGTGTAATTTCTTTTCTAATCAGAAAATAATCTTTTGGAAACAATTCTAGCAAATACTACTGCAACCTAGGCTGTTATTTGGTATACTATATATTTTTGAATTTCAGTGAACTATAGACCAGACAGAAGTTTGTACTGAATAACTATTTCCAGGGCTCATATGAATTGTTTCTTTCTGCCAGTGTATAAAAGAATGTATAGTCATTGTCCTGTGTCTCATTCCATAAAATCTAATGTCCTTCTGATTGTACATAAAAAGATGATGGGTGCCTGAATGAAACTATTTTTCTTTCTCAAACTGTGAACATAATATCCTATCTATTCATTATTTTGTTCTTTAATATGCTGTAATTTTAAAATGTGTGATTTGGCATATTGCAGAGAATATTAAGTGACATCACATATCTATGTTATTGTTATACATCAGAATTATTTTGTCTTTCAGCAGCATGCCTGTTCCAATGGATGACCGTACAGTTGTTCCTCAATTTAAAAAGATGTATAAATATTTAATAGAATTAAGACTTACTAAATCTATTTTTGAATATGTACATTCACTAAATAGCATAAATCTTTTGGAAACAGAGGGTAGAAGAGCACCATCTACCATTTTCCTTTAGCCATCCTATTAATTGAGGCTGCCAAAAACCATGTCTATCATACAGATATTGCATTATTCAGCTCCCTAGCAAGGGTTAATCTTTGCCCAATTCTCTCCTAAATCCTCAGAGCAGACCAGGGCTAGGAGATGGGATCAGAGGCCAGAGGCCAGAGGCTTAAATGCCATGATCCTTATTGAGAGGAGCAATGGAAGAGACCACAGAAAAAGTGCCAAAGTTCAATAGAGTGTTCGTGTGCTGGAAAAATTCAGATGGGCCAGAGGCACATAATATAGGATACAGAGCAAAGAAGGAATAAGGACCAAGGAGGTGAGAGCAAGTGCTATTCAGAGAATTGGCCAGGCAGGAGGAATGAGACGAGTTAGGGGGAATATTGAGTGATTCCATAGTATCAGCTAGTATTTGGGTTGGTATCATACAGGAGATACACTCTCCGACTATTTAAGGAGAAGGGCAGTGCCAACACCATGTTGATCCTCGACAACGTAATGTTGATTCTTATACTTTGAAGTAATGTATTAGACAAGTTTCTCCAGGGGAACAGAACCAAAAGGATGTGAAATAAATAAATAAATAAATAAATATATATATATATATATATATATAATGTATATGTGTGTATATGCATATATAAGTGTGTATACACTTATATAAGTGTGTATATAAGTATATATAAGTGTGTATACACATATATAAGTGTATATGCATATATATATGTGTATATATGTATATGTGTATATATACACACATACACAGGTACATACATATAGATGTGTGTATAAATATATATAATTACGTGTGCCTGTATATATATAAAATTTATAATGAAGAATTGGCTCGTGTGATTATGGAGCCTAAGAAGTGCCAAGATCTGCAGTTGGTAGGCTGGAGACCCAGGAAAGCTGATGGTATGGTTCCAAAACAAAAGCTAGCAGCCTTGAGACCCAAGAAGAACTTATATTTTAGTTCAAATCTGGCAAAAAAAAAAAAAAAAAAAAAAAGAAAAGAAAAGACTAGTGTTTCAGCTCAAGTAGTCAGGCAGTAGGAATTCCCTCTTATGGTTCTATCTAGGCCTTCCACTGGTAGATGGAGCCAACCCGTATTAGAAAGGGGAATCTCCTGTACTCAATCTATTCCTTCAAATGTTTGTCTCATCCAGAAAAGCTCTCATAGACAAATCCAGAATAATGTTGGATCAAAGGCATAGGCACACTATGTCCTAATCAAGTTGACACATCACATGAACCATCACAGAGCATCATTATAGAGATATCAGAGCAGACCCTAGTGAATGCCACAGATAAAATCTCCTCAAGGCTGCCTTTCCCTATGGTGGTGTGAAGTTACACATTAGCACTGTAAATGTCATAATACATCTCTATTAGATAGGATAGCTGAAAGAACTAAGAAGGTGAGGGAGCTGTCTGACTGGAACCTGGGCCCCCTTCCATCTACCTTTGAGAAGTCAAACATTTATGAATTACAGTTGACCCTTGAGCAACATATGTTTGAACTGCAGAGGTTCACTCAAACACCAATTTTCTTCCACCTCTGCCACCTGTAAGACCGCAAGACCAACCCCCTCTTCTTGCCTCTCCTTAGCCTCCTCAGCGTGAAGACCTTTATGACTGTCCACTTCCACTTCATGAATAAGTAATATATTTTCTTTTTCTATAATTTGTGTAATAACATTTCTTTTCTCTAGCTCACTGTATTGTGAAAATATAGTACATATAATTTTAAAAAGTGTTGATTGTTCGTCTTATCAGTAAGGCTTCTAGTCAGCAGTAGGGTTTTAATAGTTATGCTTCTGGGGAGTCAAAAGTTATATGTGGGCTGGGCGCGGTGGCTCACACCTGTAATCCAAGCACTTTGGGAGGCCGAGGCAGGCGGACCAGGAGGTCAGGAGATCGAGACCATCCTGTCCAACATGGTGAAACCCCATCTCTACTAAAAATACAAATATTATCTTGGTGCGGTGTTGCACACCTGTAGTCCCAGCTACTCAGGGGGCTGAGGCAGGAGAATCACTTGAACCCGGGAGGCAGAGGTTGCAGTGAGCTGAGATCGTGCCACTGCACTCCAGCCTGGCAACAGAGCGAGACTCCATCTCAAAATAATAATAATAATAATAAATAAAAAAGTTATATGTGGATTTTTTACTGTGTAAGTGGTTGGCATCTCTAACCCCCACAGTATTCAAGGGTCAATTATAAAACTTAATGGTGATGTTAACACATCGAGTCCAGGCTTGTTTCTGTGCATATCATGATGTCTCTGTTATGAATACTTAGGATGTGTCCTGTTTTCAAACCATCTCCACCTTAGAAATCTTTCACTTTGTTACTCTTCTTCCTCTTTACATTCAACTAAGAGATGGGACTCAGGTGAATTAGTACAACTTTAATTTCAAGTGAGTGCCTTCACATTAAGTTTCCATTAGCCTTTCACTTAATGAGTATTTTCACGTACATTGTCACATTTGATCATTCAGTGAGGTATGGGGTGAATTATATGAAATTGCTGATATTTGACCATTGTGGAGTCACAAAAGCAGCAATTTTATGTGGTTGAATATGGCATTATTAAACCTACTTTTGAGATGCAGAAAAGTGAGGCTTAAAGCAAATGTGACTTAAAAAAAATCATAAAGCTTTCAGCAGCAGAGCTAAACTAAGTCTCATGACTGCAAAATTCTATGATTTTCCCATATTGCCACTACTGAACTGGCAGCCAGCCACCCATTTGTATTTTCCTTAATACAAGTAAATGCTAATTCAAATAGGATGAAATTAATCTGATATTTTAATGACTCAAAACTGTAGATGTTAATAGCTTTCTGTTATTTTGTTTTTGATATGGTTCCCATTTCTTTTTCTCACCAATGAAGAATAAACATTGAGATTCTGAAGTCACCATAATTTTTGGTCACCACTGTGTCTGAGACACCTCAATTTGCAACAGTTCTACTCTTCATACACTTACTTAGAAATTTTCAAAAATCTTGAAAGCTTTAGAAATCTTTGAGTGCAAAGAATCATCATGAGAACATATAAGGTTAAACTGTGATTTCGTTTTGATTGTGTTTACAATTATTGAAATTATACCGAAAAGTTCCTTGATACCTTCCAGCAATCTTTGCTGAATATACGTGCACTTTGGAAAAATGGGTCCCTGAACTATTTATAGATATACATATTTTATTGATTTTTCAAGCTTCATTTTGAGATATTACTTAGAAACTGCCAAATATTGGTAAAAAAAAAAAAAAAGAGACATCAGAATCTTTATAAAGTGACCAAAAGTAACGTTGCTGAGATTTGTTGGCAGCTCAAATCCAACTATTTGCTTATAGAGATCTGTTTTCTTATAAATAAAGCTGATCAGGGAAGCATGAAATTTGAGAGCATTTTCAGGGCCCGTTGGAATTGAAGTCACTACATTCTGCTTACTCTTTATGATCTGGCTTCTGTGATTTGTCTAAAAAATGTGGAAAAGGAGTGAGTTCAAGAAGAAGCCATTACATGGTCCTGCCTGAGTTATTTGTAGGTTATAATGGCAGCTTGTAGGGTCACAGATGGCCTTAGGAGGGGGGAAGCAGAGAGGGAAATAGCTCCCCAGCCCCATGTAGTGAAGATAAAGAATGTCTTCATAAGGTTTTATTTTTTTCACTGTTACTGTTTTTTATCTTTGATTGATAAAAATGAAAATGCCAAAATGAGGGTTAGCTTAATTTAAAGTATAAGCGTAGTTAGCAGCTTTTTCTAATCACTCCTGTCCATTTAAAAAATAATCCTCATAGGAGTATAAACAGAGGAAGGAGAAATGGAGGATGGGCTTAAGAGAAAGAGTATTTCACAAATGTCTGCATAGCAAATTCAATTCATCTACCTAGTAGCTCCTTCCATGTTAACCTACAGGTGTTCTCCCCTCCAAAAAAAAGCATCTTTTAGGAAGAAACCACCTTAACACTACCTTTAGAAGATTGAACTTCCAGGGATAGGTTGTTTGAGAGAATCACCAAAAGCCATTTTTAATGAATTTTTAAATTACGCTTTCTCATTCTTATAATAGTGTAGCAGCCACCTTCCATCTACTATGTAACTTATAACAAATAATCAAGTACTAAATTGAATAAATACTGTTATTTATCTTGTCTGGGCTAAACAGAAAGAAGAAATAAAATACAGTTACTAAGCATCAAGGATCACAGGACCTTCTATTCCAGTCTAGCAGAGGAAATTTACAAGATGCTAAGTAATTAATGCTAAGTGGCATGTTGCTAATATAATTACAATTGAGGTTTTCAGAGAACAGTAAATTCACCACAGGTCAAAGCATTTGTTGAATTGTATGTGGAGAAGAAATTGGAACTGTGTTTGGCTGCATCTTAAGTTACACTCTGGGAAGCTCATACTCATTTTTAGCAGGATTCTATGTTAAACTTTCTAAGAGTGGGGAAATACTCTATCTAAAACGTCTCCAGAAAAAAGTTACAAAGGATAAGCAGAGTCTGGTTTTAAAGGGGACACTCAATCTGGGTAGAAAGGTCTCTGAGTGAGTGAGTTAGAGAGTGGGTGAGTTGAAAAATGTGCTGCTAAGCAGGTTTATGTAACCTTCCTTTTTTTATTCATGATTTAAAAGTATGATTTCGGCTCATGCCTGTAATCCCAGCACTTTGGGAGGCTGAGGCGGGTGGATCACGAGGTCAGGAGTTCGAGCACAGCCTGGCCAACATAGTGAAATCCTGTAGCTACTAAAAATACAAAAATTAGCCAGGTGTGGTGCTGGGCGCCTGTAATCCCAGCTACTCGGGAGGCTGAGGCAGGAGAATTGCTTGAACCCAGGAGGCAGAGGTTGCAGTGAGCCGAGATCACACCATGGCACTCCAGCCTGGGCGACAGTGGGAAATTCCGCCTCAAAAAAAAAAAAAAAAAGAAAAAAAAAAAAACGGGGATATGATTTCTACATCCACCTATCTGACCTGACCTCACAGGGAAGCTTTGCTTTAGACTGATATGATCTTCACTAGAGGAAAAGACGAGGGGAAAACAGGAGCTTAAAAGAATTAAAACATGTTGGGGAGTGGTGGCTCACATCTGTGAACCCAGCACTTTGGGACGCTGAGGCAGGCAGATCACTTAAGGTCAGGAGTTCGAGCCTGGCCAACATAGAGAAACCTCGTCTCTACTGAAAATACAAAAATTAACCAGGTGTGATGGTGTGCACCTGAAATCCCAGCTACTTGGGAGGCTGAGGCAGGAGAATCACTTGAATGAGGAGGTGGAGGTTGCAGTGAGCCAAGATCAAGCCACTACATTCCAGCCTGGGTGACAGAGTGAGACTCTATCTCAAAATAATAGTAATAATAATAATAATAAAAACATGGGCATTAAGTATATATGGACCACTTACTTCATACTTTCGAATAGATGAGCATTTAATCCATCAGTTAATGGATTCTCCTCTGTATATTCTAATAACAGGAAAAGCATTCAGTTATTATCCCTTCTTTCTCACTGTTCCATCAGAGTCCTTATTACCTGACATAAAACCATCTCATGTTATCACCTATAGGCTAAAAAGCTTTGCAGTTCTCATTTGGCTTGAGGTTAATTTAGAGATTTATTAAACTGTGTTTCATTGAGTACCTACCATGGGTAGCTGGATGCCCAGACCTCGGGATATTCCAGTAGGTGAAATAATTGAGATGTATATGTATTTGTACACATATGTATCTGGCTTCTTCTCCTTTTGAGAGAGAAGTCTCCTCTCTCAATTAAATGTGCTATCAAAGAGCATGGCGATGGCAGGAACTGCCGAGTAAACTGTATTTTAAAAATCGTATCTGCATTTCAGCTCTTTGTCTTCTCGTTTCCTGCACTGCCTAAGGTCCTCTTTGCCTAATCTTTTTCTGGAGGAAATTTTTAATATAGACTCCTTGTTCCTTTTTGCTTTAAATCCTGAGATTGTAAGGTTTGGGAAAGTTAATGGCCCCCATGTGATTCACCTATAATGGACATTCTGTAGAATAAAATGTATCCTCATTTAAAAAATACATAAATAGAAAGGGAAAGGTACATTGTCAGTCTCTGTTTTGCCTGTAGAAATCCTTTCAAATCATGATTATACTCCTAGTCTATTTGACAACGATAAAATATTCTAAACTAATGGTTTCGAGCTCTCAGGCAAAACCAGATTTTTATTGCCAGAAAAAGTCCACCATGGCTCTGAAGAACAATTTTACATTTTCACAACCAATACAAATACTGTTTTGGGTACAAATTGAGGAAACATTATGTTTTCAGGGATCCTTTTCTGAACTTTCATGAAATATTAAAATGAAGATGACTGAATTGCAGTTTGATTATCCCTCATTGCCATTTAGAATGGGTGGATAATTAGTTTGGCATTAACCTTGAATGTGAAAGACCCTAGAAAGTCCAGCTCCAGGGGGTGCTGTTATTTTTCAGCATATTCTTCTACAGCCACTTTCTGACATCTTATGTAAGGGAAACTGAAAATCTTAAATGATTACTCATATAAATAATCTTGGGGGAAGATGAGATAGAAAGAATTGTAGAGAATACATCACCTTCTCTAGGAAACTTATTTTTCAGTAGTATTAATCAATCATGAAAAATATAAAATATGGATGCAAGACCCAAATACATACATGGCATACTTCTTTCATTATTTTATTTTAAAAACACTATTTAAATGCTATAACTTAGTACTTTCTCTTTTACTGACAAAGTCACAAAGAATAATTGTTAAGTACACACTACATGTCAAGAAATGAAAGAAAATATACATTTTCGGTTTCTAGTAGATCTGATACTAAAATTTAGAAATATACCTAACACCAGCTAAGTCCATGCAAACATTTAACTCTTTGTTGGTAACATTTTCCACTGGCATTACACAGGCCTGAGTGTCAGTATTATTTCCTTTTTCTTTTTTCTTTTTTCTTTTTCTTTCTTTCTTTTTTTGTTTTTGAGACAAGTTCTCCATATGTTACCCAGGCTGGAGTGCAGTGGCACCATCACAGCTCACTGTAGCCTCAACCTCCTGGGCTCAAGCAATCTTCCCACATTGGCATCCTGAGTAGCTGGGACCACAGGCACACACCACCACACCCAGCTAATTTTTTATTATTTGTAAAGACATGATCTCACTCTGTTGGTATGCTGGTCTCAAACTCCTAAATTCAAGCGATCTGCCCACTTCAGCCTCCCAAATACTGGGATTGCAGGCATGAGCAACCACGCCCAGCCTCTGAGTCAGTATTATTTCTTGTTAGCCATATTGCATCACTAAAGCAGAAAACTTTCAGACATGCATGTATATATTTTAGTATTTCAATTAGTTGTTTTAAGTATTTGGTGCTCTATTTAATACATTTGGTACATATTATATACCAGTCACTTTTCTAACAGCTTTCCATGTGTTAACTCTTCATAATATTTAACTACATAGGTATTATTGTCCCCACTTTGCAGGTGAGGAAACTGAGACATGGAGAAGTTAAATAATTTTTCTGAGGTCACACATCAAGGCTCCAGGGCCTGTGCTCATAAGCATCTCACTGCTCTATCTCTCAATTGGATAAAACTAATTGTGAAGTAAGATTAATATTTTATCCCATTAATTTCATGACTGACTTTCAAACCTAAGCATGCATACATGCATACAGGCAAATTAAAACTCAGGTGCTGCCAACAGATGGATAGTCATTCTACAAGGGGGACACTAATATCTCTATATCTAGATACGAGAAACAGATACTTTTTTAAATGTCTTCTCAAAAGCAGGTGAAGTGAGAAGAAGAATGCAATAGACATTTATCTATGTACTCTGATTAGAACATACTTAAACCAAAGTGATAACAAAAATCATTACTTGTATTTCTTTGCAAAAAATCTGGAATAGAAAAATGGCAGGAGAATACAGACAAAATTCTTGATTTTCAAATAGGGAAATGGGAGTACACTCTGTATAGACAAACAAATTTAATGCCAATCCCTTCCAAGAACCTCAAATGGATTATTAAAAACTTTGAAAGAAAACTGATGCATGTCCTCTGTTAATGTCTTTGGTTTACGTCTCTGAGGACAGAAATGTACTTTCTTTGCCTTTTTGAAAAGGCAAAGGGATTGAAAGGACTCAGCTGTTAAAGTAACAAATTATCAAGCAATATGAATGGCCATGGCACAGTCTACATAGGCTGATTTCACATTGTTATATACGTGACTGAGCATTCATTTATTCACTCATTCGACAGATAGCTATTGAGCTTCTTCCTTGCCAGGGCTTACACTTTCTGATTGCTGGGATGGGAATTCGATGAGGAAGGCCTTGCTTGCTACCAAGTATAGGAGATGTAGGAATAGGTAAATCTAGGTATAGACTTACAATCTTTAGCTTACAGAGTCTGTCACAGCCCAGTGGCAGAGACACTTCTCCTTTATTGTCCAAATCATAACATTTGGAGGTTGATGATCTTCTTTAATGCAAATATACAGTGAGGTACCTTTTTTTTCTTGGCCAGATATTTTTCATTATCGCTGCTATCGTCACTAATATCAGCCTTATGGAAAAATCGCAGTATAAGACATAGCAACAATAGAAGTACGCTCTCTGCACGATTAAAAAAATGAAAATAAAAACACTGAAAGAGTTATACGCAAATGTGGAGAAGAGCAAACAACCGTTTGGGAATCCATATTTCATTAAGAATTTATCAGTGCCTAGTGAGCATCCAGCCTTAGCACAGTATCCACCTCGTAACTGGTAGACATAAATACTTAGTAAAAGAGTGAGTGAATGAATAAACACAGGTGTTTGTAAGGCGACATTCTTGGAATACTGCTGCTGCTATATTTCAACTCAGTGAGGTTTTGTAAATTCAAAAACTTGGATTTTGAACTCAAGCTGCTTGGATTTGAACCCTGGCTTTACTACCTGCTATGCTGCAATTGCTTCATGGGGAAAAGAAGAAATGGCAATCCTAAAGGATGGATCCCTACCTTTTTTTTGTTGCTGTTGTTTTCATGCATTTCATGTGTGTTGGGCCTTCTAATTACAAACTAGATATCAGATAGTCAGCTTACTTCATCCAGTTGGTTTCTGCACAGATTATAGTGTAATGAAAAATACCTATTAACCTGCTTCTCTAATAATTTAATATCTGGTTTCCTGATACCATATTAATGCAAATCCTACAACTATAACTAAATGAGAGAACTATTTAGAGTAGATAAGTAAGTTACTGGTTAGAGGAAAGTTTTAAAACAATGTCTTCCAAATAAGGCATCATTTTTCCTTATATCTTAAGTACCAACAGATGAATAGTTATTGCACAAGGAAAACTAGCTAATTCCTCCTTTGATAGACTTTCTTTTAAGACTAGTAGATCTGCTGATTTCTATATCAGGATAACCTGGAGATCATTTTCAACCAATCAGAGACAAACTTTTCTCCATGATCAATAAGTATTTCTTGACTGAAAGAGTGAAGGCTGGCTGGGTGCCGTGGTGGCTCACGCCTGTAATCCCAGCACTTTGGGACGCCAAGGCAGGCAAATCACCTAAGGTCAGGAGTTCGAGACCAGCCTGGCCAACATGGTGAAATCCTGTCTCTACAAAAATGCAAAAAAAAAAAAAAGCCAGTCATGATGGCGGGTGCCTCTAATCCCAGCTGCTCAGGAGGCTGAGGCGGGAGAATCACTTGAACCCAGGAGGTGGAGGTTGGAGTGAGCTGAGATCGTGCCACTGCACTCCAGCCTGGGTGACAGAGCGAGACCGTCTCAATAAAAAAAAAAAAAAAAAAAAAAAGTGAAAAAGTTACATTACCATATTTTTTGGACAAGACTTTTGACAAGATATTTAACTTTTTGCTATTTCAATTTTTTGATCTGTAAAATAAAAGGATAATCATAGGGTTAAGAAGGACAGCTATATCAATACATAGATTGATGGAAATATAGAGATACATATAACTTAATACAGAGCCCAACATATATAAGCACCCAGTAAATATTACCTATTATTAGCTATTATCATTAGATCATAGGAAGTCAAGTTCCATTTTACTTTGTACTTGTCAAGTCAAATTTAAAATAGGTCTTGTTCCAAGCAGCTTATTTTAAGGGGAATATCAATAAAATGGAATGTAGAATGAGTGCACGGACAATGGACTCCATTTGAATCTAGTTCCTATCACAACATGTGCTGACTTTCAATGAAAATTTTTATGTGGGTTAATGGAAAGAAGACACATAGACACTAAGGATTTAAGCAGTTCAAAGTCTATCATGTGAAAGACCAAAGAAAGATGGTTTTTGATAGCTCAGATATACAGGTAAGGAGGGCAATCATATGTTCACATTTTCCTGGGCAGTCATCTTTTATGTCTGTGTAATCATCAATTAGTTTTTAACTGACAAAGGTATTCTTGTTTGGACAAGAAATTATATGGTTTGCCCACATCTAGGTTAAATATGTTGTAGTGCAGTAGAGGCACATTTAAGTTAACCATAGGACAGTGCACAAAGTATTTGAGGTGTCCAGTGATAAAGTCTGCCCTTTGAAGTTATGAGTTGATGTGATGGGAAATATTCAATTTAATACAAAATGATAATTCAATGCAAGGAATGATTCATTCACTGGATAGGAAGATCAACTAGATGTACATCATTACATCTATAATATGTAATCTAATAAATCCCAAATCTTAGTTTCTTTTGTGATCTACCTGCTACTTCTCTGTAAACAAAACAAAAACAAAACTATGAATTTGCATTCCCATTTAATCCAACTGTCAATCCTCTAAATGACCCATTTTACAAACAAATCAAACTCCAGCAGGACCTAAAAATATTAGAGATTTGTACTGATATTTTGCCATTTCTTTAATTTTTTAATACTTCTTGAATGAATATATAATTTATTTTTTAAAACAGGCAATATAATATTTTCTACTTCTTTTTTATTTCCTAATATTTTCAGGAGGACTTTCCACACTGTATTTATTGTACCTTCTCAGACAGAATGTCTTAGAAATCTATGATATAATCTGGCTTAATTATTAAGCCATGTCTTCCATTCTTATGAGTACAGACTGCTTTAAAATTTGAAATATCTGTATTATAAAGTCTTATTCGGATATGACATCTGAATACAATGTCTACTTTTATATGACTGTTACCCGCAATATATTTGTTTTTTGTTCTTCACAATTTGCTTTGGGAGCAAAAATAACTGGATATAAAAATTGCAATAAGGAAAATTATTCATATGCCAGCTGCTTACTGAATGCTTATGATGCTGAGGCACTGTCAGCTAAGCTCTGGGGGTGGTGCAGCAGCAGTAAACAATGCCAGGTCCTTGCTTGCATGCAGCTTACATTCCATGGATTGTAGAAGATTTGGAAAGGGCCTTGCCCCACATCCCTAAGCAGGTCTTCACCCAATAGGTTGAATTTTCCTTCCTTGTATTCCTGCAGCACAGAAACACCCCCGTCATTACTGAGTATCTCTCTAACAGGTAGTGGGCACATACCCTGGGGGGAGACATGGCAGAATGATGGTGGAGGTAAAAAGGTTTAATGCCTGTTGCAGTAGGAAGACCCCTCGGTCAGCTGGATGCACTCCTTTTGGGGCCAATAATGCCTTACCCTTTAGAATAGCGTTCAATTTTCACAGCCTTCATCACCACTGCCCTGTGTGGCTTCAAACTTCTTCTAAACCTCATTTCCTTTAACATTATGGGCATGTGCTCCATCTTTCTGGCCCCTGCTATACACAATGGGACTTACCAGTATCCCACTGTCACCTCCCTGCAACTTCTGGGGATAGTGTCACCTCCCTGCAATCCTGGCTGCCACCTGCCAGCATCCTATTTTCCTTCCAAATACAACTCAAATTCTGCCTTCCTTATAAGGCTTATTTGGTCTCTTCAGTGATATTCTTTTCTCTCTTTGGAGCCACTCCTGTGGCACTTGGAGTATTTTTTTTTCTAGTATCACTTATGGCATTGTATATTTTATTACAATTTTCAATGAGCTTGACTGATTCCCAATACTGTAGCCCATTAGCCTCAGAAGGCAGAGTCCAAGTTGCCTTTCTTTGGTCCCACTAAAGGGTCTAGTGTATTGCCTTGAAAGTACTAGGTCTTCCAGAACTTTTTTTTTTTTACAGAACAAATGCATCTTCTGAGTTAATATTTATAAAATGTGTTTCCATTTACTATTCAATTACTGTTGTATTATTTTTCATTCCTATACCTTAATTCCCACATTTTTGTATTGGTTGTATTTCTTATTCTAAAGAGCATAAAATACAAAAGTAAATAATATGTGTTTACCATTTAGTTCAAAGAAAAGGACAATTAAATGAATAAACTTTATTTTTATGTATTTTAAACAATTTATATAATGTGAAGTATTTTAAGCAATGTGTTTCTTACATTCCAGTTTTTGAAGATGGTTGCTGAAATTAGTGTTAACATTCACTTTCAATCTTTTCATGTTGACCCAAGCTATTTGAGGTCCTCTCTAGCAAGCTTCTTAAGATTACTTACCTCTCCCTCTCCACAACAGTCCTCAGATGGCATCTTTTAAATAAATAGTCCTAGAAAAGAAGGCAAGTCCTAGAGAACAGTCTAATTCCTGAGGAAGTTCTGTGCAACCGCTGTCCTGCCACGTTCAGGGAGAGGATGGAGGTGGTGTGTGAGAGGATTATAAAGAAACAGAGAAGTAAGAAGGAATGTAGTAAGTGTGTTGAAGTCAATTCTGCAAATGTCCCCAATATCTAATTCCATATGGGTCTTTGAGATTCAAACTACTGCTATTTTAGCTCATCTGAGGCCAGCATTTATGAGTACCTACTATGTCATATTTTGTAACAGGCTAACTATACCATTATGAATAAGATGCTATGGTCTATGTTTGAGTATCTATTGGTAAAGGCTGACACATAAATAGATACTGGTGCAAGCTCTTAAGCAACAAACTAAAGCGTAATCCTAGATTTCTCCCATTTACTTTTATTTTTGCTTTCAACCCCACTCCCATCCAATCAGTCCCCAGGTCCTTATGATCGTCTTTCTTATTATCTCTCAGATCCAGGCCTTTTCTGTAATCTCTTTGCCACCTACATTCTTTCTTCATCTCTAACCTGACTTTGTTGTTGTTGTTGTTGTTGAGATAGAGTCTTGTTCTGTCGCACAGGCTGGAGTGCAATGGTGCAATCTCAGCTCACTGCAACCTCCGCCTCCCAGGCTAAAGCAATTCTCCTGCCTCAGCCTCCCAAGTAGCTGGGATTACCGGCACACGCCACCACACCCAGCTATTTTTGTTTTGTTTTGTTTTGTTTTGCTTGTATTTTTAGTAGAGACGAGGTTTCACCCTATTGGCCAGACTGGTCTTGACCTCCTGGCCTCAAATGATCCGCCGGCCTTGGCCTCTCACAGTGCTGGGATTACAGGTGTGAGCCACCGCGCCCAGCTGCTAACCTGAGTTTCTGTAGCAACTTCCTAACTGATTTGCTTGGCAATGTGTTGAAAACCCTCCCCACTGTTTTTGGTTTTGCTGCCTGATTGATCTCCTAAAAATTCCTATGTGACTTGTGTCCCCACCCTGCTTAAATTCTCTAGTAGCTCCTCTTCCCCAGCCTCACCAGATGGAAGTTTATGCTTATTTTCTTATTTCACTTGGCTGTCATGGATCTCATTTCTTCTTTCTGTCTCATCCTCTACTATTCACCCCTCTCCATAGACCCATCCCTCCCTTGGCTATTGGAACACCTCAAGCTGGTTGTGGCAGTTCTTTTTGTACCCACTCACAAGACTGTCTTATGATAAAGCAACCGACAATACTTTTGGAGTCTGGTTTTCCTTTTTGATTCTGATAGTGTAGTAGATTCTATTCAGTACCTCCCTGCCTTTTCTAATTACCTGTGCTCCCCTGAAGCATTTCTCTTCTGCAGCTGTTTCCTGTGACCCTGTCATATGGCTGCTGAATGAGGACATGGATGAAAGAAGTCATTTACATTTTGAGCACTTCCTGGTTGAGCCACCAATTTCATGAGATACAATATCTTCCCTGTGGTGTGATCCCTTTGGATATTTCTTTACACTCTGTTGTAGATTTTACGGAAAAAACTTCGTAAGTTTCAATTTTAACTAGATGGAGGGGAGGACAGTAGTGATTCAAAGAAGCTAGAAGTTGTTTTAAAAGCAACTGACTCTCTCAACATCAGAGTTTGGTTCTGATCAATGATATTTCTAGCATTTTTTGCCACCAACTTACAGAAAAAGATGTATTTTACATCGCAACCCAGAATGTGTGCGTAGGTGTGTTTATGTGTAGTCATGAATTCATTTATTCAAGGAACATTCACTGAGCACTCACTATGATTCGTACTGTGATACTATAAGCACTTATGTTCTAGTCAGGGGAGATAAACAATAAACAAGGGAAGCGTATCAGGAGATGATAAGTGATCTTAAGGTAAATCATGTTGGAGGATATACATATATACACACATACATGCATATACATATATACACATGCATATATTATACACCTATATGTTTATATGTACATGTGTACTTATATATGATTATATAATATACATATCCATTACACTTATATTTTATATACATATGTACCTACTTACATAAGTAATTGAAAATAGCTTCATAAAATAATACTTACCTTGGCTATGGATAATGCACTGTGATTTTTTTTTCTTCTGTTTTCTATTTCATTTAAAAAATGCTGATTGCAACTGACTGGATTGATTTTATGACACACCAATTCACTGAGACTTATGATTGGGAAAACACTCATTTAGTAAGTATAAAATGTATCACCACAGGTAGTCAATACCTTTACAACTGGGCAGATAAGAGATATCAGAAATTTATGACGATTCCCATACAATTAACACTACACAACTATTGCACAAAAGTCCATATTTTATCAAACATCTCATTTTGAGTCAGACTAACTTAATTTTGTAATCTTCATCATGTTTTCCTGTTTAAAAGAGTCTAAAATCTCACCACTTGCAAACGAAGTGAACATTTTTATTAGTACAATTATGTAAGAAATTACTCACTCGAGTACTATATAAACTTTGGAAAATCTTTCCATAGGGTAAAATTCTGGCTTAACTTTTGAAATTAAGGCAATGGTAAAATTTAGACAATGATATTGACTTCTTATTGGAGATTGTGGCATGTGAGGTAGTTACAACTTTGACAACTGAATTATATCTCCACTGTAGCATATTAAGGTTAGGTTAAATCTAATTAACTATAATACCTATCATTGAAAAATTTCAGAGTACATATCACCTAAAGATTAATAAAAGAAGAAGTATATATATGTATTTTCATATTTTCCATATTGTAGTACAGATGTATTTTATTTTTAAAAGCACTCAGTACAGAGCCATAAATTATTTTAGCATTTTAGGGGACATTTTTAAATGTTTTTAAAATTCTAAAGCTTTGTTCATTTTATTAGCAAAATGTAGTCTCATCCCAGTTTTGATAAACCTGGATAGATCCATGTTGATATTAAAATGAAAGCCACAGTCTAATCAATAAAGTGATTCATCAGTTGTGTAGAACAAAGTAGTACTTTTGCTTTAAGAGGCTTTTTGTTGTTGTTTATCTCCTTTAGCGGATATTTTCAGATAATACATAACTTTGCTTTTATGTTTATTCTAAGAATAATAAGTCATCATGCCACATTTGTGGGTGCTTTTAATTTTAATAATAAAGTAATTATGCAAAGCTAACTATGTAAACATTAATTTCTGACATGATTGTTTAGATCTATTCTTTATGAGGTTACATAGGGCAAATTTAATTATTGATAAACCAGGTAGCTAATAAAATTAAACTCACAGTCATTGTCTTTAAAGGTGACACATCATTGCCAGAGTAGCTACAAACATAATATTTCAAAATTTAACATAAGTAATATCCAAAACTGCTTAGTAAGGATACTAAATAACTGAATTTGTCATGTTTCCAACCACGTTTATTGTAATTACATGCAAAATATATAATACCTCCCAAAAAATAAATGATGATGGTTTACGGCGTAAAGTGAATTGTGTTGCTATAGTTTCCTTATTATAGAATAAAATAGGTTATAAAATACTTCATGTTAGGCTGGGCGCGGTGGCTCACGCCTGTAATCCCAGCACTTTGGGAAGCCGAGGCGTGCGGATCACGAGTTCAGGAAATCGAGACCATTCTGGCTAACATGGTGAAACCCTGTCTCTACTAAAAATGCAAAAAATTAGCCGAGCATGGTGGCACGTACCTGTTGTCCCAGCTACTAGGGAGGCTGAGGCAGGAGAATGGCGTGAACCCGGGAGGCGGAGCTTGCAGTGAGCCAAGATTGCGCCACTGCACTCCAGCCTGGGCGATAGTGCGAGACTCCGTCTAAAACACACACACACACACACACACACACACACACACACACACACAAACTTCATGTGGCATTTGTGCAGTTTTGGTTAGAATTCTACTGTAATAAAAACTTACTGGAAATCAGAGGTTAAAATAGAGGGTTACAAATATTCAAGTCTCTCTTCTCCAAATAGGGAGTAAATTAGGAAGTGCAAAACTGCAATGAATATATAGGTAATGAAGAAACATGGAAAGAAAAAATAATTTCAGATGAAAGTCTATTCATTTTTAAGATGATAATCAGGAGATTAAAGAATATTTTTCCATCATTCTTTCTCTTACATACTTAGCAAAGGTATTCGTATGTGTGTCAATTGTTGAACTTGGTTGTTTATACATTTAACAGCTTATTTTTAGGTGGGAGTATTTGAGGTAAAGACAAGATAAATGAGGGAAACTGCTCCTAGATACCAGGGTCTGTACAGACCTTTAAATGACTGTTATGCTGGAATTCATTGCCAATGTTTTGCCTTCTAAGTGTAACCTAACAGTTGTGAAGAGTAGAATCCTGTTCACTTTAACTCTCACTTGCTATGTGACGTATGTGTTCTTATAATGGCTTTCAAAGGAGCTGCCAGTGATATGTAGAAAGAGTGGGCAAGAACAGAGGTGTACGAAAATTAAGGCTGAAAGTTGCATTGGCCCCCTCTTTACTATCTCTTCCTTTACAACCAATGCCACTAGTCTCTGGCTCAAGCACTGCAAACATTGCATAAAGAAATGAGTAAAACAGCAACAATAATAATCAGATTTTGTAATAAATTCTTAATTTATACCTGAAACTTGGCTAAGTGATTGCTGTGGATTATTAGGACTAAAGGTGGTGGGGAGTCTGGGCTCTGAGTATTGGACGTAGGTAGCTGAGAGTCAACAAAGTCTGAATAGTGAAAATATTTCTCTCACACAGTGACATTCATTTTAAGACTATATGCATTTAGTCACATTAACCATCTCTTTCAATCATTCTCTGTGACAGACAAGCAAACACACACACACACACACAAAACACACACACACACACACACACACACACACACATTCAGAAGTGTGGAGGTTCCATTGATGTCACTTGTTTGTCCAGTCCTTGGTCAGTGAATCTCTAGAAAGGCCACAGTCTTTTCATGTTCATGGCTTTGTCATTGCTCTCCATTGAGTCCACTGGATGAACTTGCTTCTTGCTCCATCTCAGAGTCCATAAGAATATGTCTTTGCAGAGGACATTTAGGGGAGGGAATGTGTTACCAATTCATTTCCAGGCCTCAGATCTCAACTAAGGTGTTTTCAAGTCCCACAACCCTGGATGTCACTTCGTAGAGGGCCAGTCCTCCCTAAAATGTGGGCTTTGTTCCTTAGTCTACAGTAGGATGCAGAAATGATGTTTCTTTTCATGGTGGCCCATAAAATTTAGAAATTGCCTGGATTCCAGTCAATTTAGAACAATTGGTGGGCAATTGACTAGGTCACACATCAATCTGATTTGGCAGTTACTGTGGCCAAAAACCTCAAATGCTGTAAAGCTGTCAGTCTCACTGTACATTTATGTTCAAGGAGGAATAGACTTTATTTTCTCCTCAAATATGTTTTGATTAGACAGCAAATTATCGGAAACCATGTCAGAAGCTCACTATTCTCTACTACCATGTTAACATAAATGTTATTTTTCTAGATACAGTGAATCACTGTGTATTACTCCTCAAAAAAAATTTTTAAACTAAATGACAATACGCTAGGCCATAAAATGTAGTATTATACCATCAGAGAAGACTTTCTGTTATATCTGTATACATTTTGATGTATGTATCCCAAAAGAATTCAGGTAAAGTTAATATGGTCAATGTCGTTGAATGGTTAAGAACATGGGTTTACAGATGTCTAGGTGCAGACTCCTCTACCACATGGAAGGGCAAATTACTTTACTTCTATGTATCTCTGTTTTCTCATCTGCAAATCAGGTGTAGTAATAGTAACTAGCTCCTTGGGTGGCGGTGACGATTAAATGAAGTGAAGAAACCATGGCTGGTACATAGTAAGCATGAGCTCAGTCAATGTGAGATGTGGTTTTTGTTAATATGAAATAGCTATAGCCAAAGTCCCCAAATAGTAACTAAAACAGTATAGTATTATCAATCCCCCTATATTTTTTTCAAATTATATAATTGTTTGATATTTATCTTTTATTTATTTACCCAAAAGGAAAGGGTGCTATAGAAGATCTCTTAGTAAAATACTGAAAAGTAAAGAAAAATACACCATTCAAGCATAACACGTTTTGTTTAGAAAGTTAAAATATTTAGCAAAGACAGAATATGTTCCTAAATGGAGTGAGGAATCTTGTCCTATTTGTTTTATTTTTTATCTTGCTCATTGCTTTTTTTTTCCTCTGAGTATACTTGGGTTGATGATCTGCTTTCTATTTATATCATTACTTACTATGTACAATTTAATGTATTAGCCATCATGATATCATGGGTATGAATAAGGTCCTGGATTCCTCACACATTTCCAAGTGCAGACTCCAGCTGAAACAGAACAAAGATTCAGATGTTTAATAATATTGTACAATTTTTGTTTTCTTTAAATTTTTTCTCAAAAGTTTACTTTCTAAGAAATCAGTGTAGACCAATAAAAGTTTCCTGTGGTGGAATTTGGTTGGTATACTTCCTAGAATTTAACCCTAACCAGGTTTTCTTTCAAAACTACTGAGAATCATTTTATTTACAAATAACAATTATATGAATTATCAAAGAATTTTAAAATTAACATAACTTTGTCCAAAGTCAGTGTCTCTTCCTGTTATAAAATTACTTGATCCTATTAAGAAATTCTGAATTGCAACATCTGTTTGTTTTTGTTTATCCCTTTTGTCGAGAGGATTCATGCCATGATTTTCTTATTACATTTTTAATAGATATTCAGTGAAAAAGGTAACTGATGCCAGGCAGTTTATGTATCAACCACATCTATCATGCCTTTTCCTCCTTTGTCCTACCTATTCAGTTGTTAATGGGCTATTTGGGCAGCAGCCACACAAACGCTTTCACATAGATCACGCATCAACATAGTTATCCTGGAAAAGAAAACACCTGAACTATTTATTCACATGGCATTTTCCTTGAAATTTCTAGAACAACTTTTTGTGAATAAGGACCTCAATCTACCCATTTACAAGATGTGTTGTATGAGCTGTAAATGTTACTGGGGTGTTGTGAGTACAGACTTGGCCTTGGTTCCACAGTGTCCCCTCACTTTCTCTCTAAGCTTTTTCATTTATCAATTCCAATCGCCAAACTCAGATACTAAAAATTCTAAAACTCTCTGAAAATACTTAATATGTCTGTTGCAATGACTACATGAGCTAACATGGATAATGTGTAGTGCCTGGCACATACTGCTCACTCAGTAGTAACTAAACTAAAACAAGAATTACAAATTGGGAGGCAGTGAAATCCTGATTTCTTCATTTGTATACCTAAGTATTTGAAGAAGGATTCTCTCAATGTAAATATGTACTTGTACGTATTTAAGAATACATATGTGTTTTAATTGCTTTTCTTTACCTAAACAATTTGTCTCTTTAGTCTGTCCTACTTTCACTGTTTGGGGAAATAGGTAAGAATTTGTATTAAAATCCCTCTCAGAAAGGCTATTCTATTCTCATTTTTCCTTTTAAAGAACAAATACAGCTAACTAGCACATTCAAAATAAAAAATTGAATTGTTATGTAATTCAGAATATAAATAGGAAGACTATAATGAAATTTTGGGGAACAGAGGATGTACGAATACTTTAATGGAAATTTATTGGAGATGAGAAATTATGAAATTCACAGTCTTTACCATTCAAAGGGAAGTTGTTCATCTCTTACAATATGTGCGATTAGATCATTGATACCAGTTTGTTTTTTCAACAGAAACAATCACCTTAAAACTTTACATTCGGGGTAAAACACATCTGGTAGAAAAATCAACTTAGTTTCATTGTTTAGGGTTCCAATTAGATGATTAAATACTTTCTCTGGATTTGCAAGAGTCAAAGAAACAGGTTACACAGAGGGTAAGAAAAACTCCTTCCTGTTAATAACACAATGTTAGAAGGTCCCTTACAATGTAACTAAAAAATGCTCAGGCAAGAACCATCCTAAATAATATATCAGTCATTTCTTGAAGTAGCAAGTGTTGCCTTAAAATAATGTTTTATGAATACCCATAGATTAAAGAAACACAAACAATTCCCACAACCAATCTGTGAACACATTTATGAGGTATGTAGAGCTAGTTATGAACATTCAACACCATTGACGTGCTCCTTTTTTTTGAATTATAAGTAATGATTAACTTTACTAAAATGCCTATGATATCCTCTAGTGTGTGATCACTTAACCAAAAGGAAATAACACATCATTGTCAGGTTTCATACTTTACAGTTTGTTTTTTCTCCTAAGATGGATTGAATGTTTTAACCTCCTTTAAACTACATTACCTTTAAAAACATTGTAATAATCTTAGGTTCAGAACTGGAACTGTTTGAAAGGCATGCCAGAATTAAAGTTATATTTAGGCCACACCAGAAGAGCACAGAGGTTACTGGAGTAATATTGAGGATGATGATAGGAAGACAAAGAGGAGAAAAAATCCTGTTGAAGATCTTAGTGATACAACTTCCCCATTGCTAATGATTTGCCAAATAATTGCTATTCAATTGTTACTTAAAGGAAATTTATAATTAGAAGGAATATTAGATATATAGCCCAGGAGTTTTCCAGTTTCTTTATTTAGTTGTGTAAATCTAGAATTAACTCTTTAAACTCTGTAATGGAGCCTTTGTCTGCCTCATTCATCTCTCTATTTCTGGCAGCTAGAAAAGCTCTTAGTACAATGACTGCTCAACAAATACGTGTTGAAAGCAATGAAGAGAGAGATATAACTTAAATAGATAAAGCAACATTTTTCTGATCAGAGCAGGTTGAGCAGACCCATCTGCATGGTAGCTCAGAAGCTTTCTGAGGATGTTAAGAAGCCCCCTCGGACACACATACATGAAACTCTGTGCTCTGCAATTTGAAAATCACTGGGTTTAATTCTCTCATTTTATGTATAAGAAAATAAAGCTGTCTTCTGGAATCCCAAGTTTCAATATATATTTTTGTAGCTAGGTACTATGTATTTATGGGAGTTGGAAAATAACATTCTATGATAAGCTTATGGGCCATTTTGTTTTCAGAGAAATTATTTCAGGAAGACAAATCATAAGAGAATACTCTATAACCTATTTGCTCTGAATCTAAATGGTTATAACACATGCCTTAATAATTTATACTTCTAACAAAAATATGTAATATTCTTTCAAAAGTCAGGTGTGTTATTCCTTACATATACTAAAAACAAATCATGATTACTGTAATTAAATGTAGGAAATAGCTTGCTGCCCATCCATTATTAAAAGGAGATTTGTATTTCCCATAAAAAATTTAATCTGGCTCTGGTTCTCTAGGGAAAAAATAATGTAGAGAATATACATGGACATACATACAGGACTGTACAAAATGTAAAAGCAAACATTTACCTTTCCTCCATGTATTAGAAAGCTGGCTAATGTTTGTAAATTACCTAATTTGATTGACTTCCATAGTCACCAAATTTTCTTCACCAATATTTATTAAGCATGGATCAAATATTTTATATATAAGTACACATATGTATATTTATGTATGTATGTGTTTATGTGTATAAACAAAAATATATACATGTGCAAGTATATATACATATATGTGTATATATCCTAGTAAGAGAAAATGATAGGTTAGTAAATTGATCATTAAAAATCATATAAATCAGCAACTGTACACCTACTTCTGCCCTAGTATGAATTTTTCAATGAAATCAGTGAGCCTCACATACTCATCTCAATCAGAATCACCTCCACATTTGTACAGGGCTTAGGAAAGTGGAGCAAAAGTGCTTTGATAAAATGTGCAATTAGGGAGGCAAAGATCAAGGCTTTAAAGAGAGGGCTTAGCAAAACAGATGTCCAAGGAGCCTCAGTAAACTCAATGTCTCTAATTACACTTTGGATGGAAGAAGGTTGAAAATTCATGCCTGGCAGAACTCTCGAAGTCTGTATTAATCTTAAAATAACTTGACAAATTTATCATGCTTCAAATATTTTAATTAACTCTACTAGGATTTATTGAAAATGTATCAATATTAATTCCATGAACTGGAAAACATCAGCATATGTTTAAAAATTAAGGTATACAAGGATTTATATGTTTCAGTAGCAACAAACCATTAATTATAGACATGCATTGCTTAATGATGGGGATACCTTTTGAGAAATGTCACCTCAGGTGATTTTGTCTTGTGTGAACATCGTTGAGTATACATCTACAAACCTAAATGGTATAGCCTACTCCAAACCTAGGCTGTATGGTATGGCCTATTGCTCTTAGTCTACAAACTTGTACAGCATGTTACTGTACTGAATACTGTAGGCAACTGTAATACTGTGGTAAATATTTGTGTATCTAAAGATCTCTAAACATAGTCTCATGGGAACACCATCATATATATGATCTGTCAATGACAGAAAAGTCATTATGTGGTACATGACTGTATATCTGCACATCCTTTTTGAAAGAGATGTTTTGAATAGTTGTTTGGGGTTTTTGTTTCAGGATAACATATACAACTTGTGCATAGGTAGATGAGTTCAGTGAAGACATCCTGTCTTCTAAGGATTTTCCTAAATGCACCAAATTTATGAATAAGTCAGTCTACTTTATTTTTGTCTTTCATGTTTTGCTTCTCACATTGACTACATGGATTATTTTAAATAAAAGGGAACTGTTTCACAGCTGTAAACCTGAATGCTCATAGTAGGTAATTTCAGAACTAAGGAAGTGTCTATGTTCTTTACACTTTTTTGTTGTTGTTCTGTTTTTATCTAGAGACAGGGTTTCCCTTTGTCACCCAGGATAGAGTTCAGTGGCGTGATCATAACTCACTGTAACCTTCAACTCTGGACTCAAATGATCCTCTTGCCTCAGCCACTTGAGAAGCTAAGACTCCAGATGCACCCCATCATGCCTGGCTAGTTTTTAGAAATGTTTTGGAGAGATGGAGTCTCTTCATGTTGCCCAGGCTGGTCTAGAACACCTGTGTTCCACCCTCCTCAAACTCCCAAAGTGCTTGGATTATAGGCATGAGCCCGGCCTAAATGTTTTTATAAAAATATATCTTACAATTTTGTATTATTTGTGTTTTTTGCTTATATATACAGCCAGTGTTTTGGTGTATGAGTGTATTATTAGAATGTACTTCCTATTTTTTTTGTTTTCATAGTATAGCAGAGTACTGGTCTCTTTTGATATAAGGCATGAAAATGGCAGTTTTATATAATTGCTCAATTATATATTAAATACATTCTAAATATTTTCACTATGTCTGTGATACAGATCAGATGTTAAATTTATTTCTACATAAGGATGAGTTTCACACTTAAAGATTTCCTAAACTGCTGACTTATCATGTAATTCTGAAGGACTTTATGCCTTTTCTAAAGCATGTACTTTGACGTAGAATCTCATACATAGCCAGACTTTATATTGTTTTTGGATTTTCACAAATCGTTTAGTAAGATGTTCTCTGCCAAAATATATTGCATTCATAATCTTAAATCCATGAGGTACACTTTATTCAACAGAATAAAAACCAACTATTTTGTCACCATTGAGTCAGTGTAACTGATTAACACATTGTTCTCATTGAAACATATGGCTAGCTCATAATTAACTGAAAATAATTCAGTGGCCTTGTCTGGCTTTAAATCAAGTAATGTTCTACTTGAGGCAGCCATGGCTGACATAATTTACTATGTTAGTTATATTGTAGTTTAAATCATATCAGTTCATTTCCTCTCTGGTATTATTCTTTCCCATCAAGTTCTATTTCTTTAGCTATAGAATGCCTCTAAGCCACATCTGTGTTGGTCTAAGTCATGAGTAAACTTTTTAAATAAAGTGTGCAAAATGTGTTCTTATTTATACCGAAGATGTTTTCAATTACCATTAAGTTCATTGTTGGTCTGATGTTAGCAGCTTAAATATTTGAAGCCGCTCTCTGGAAATCAGACACACATCCAAATTCTAAAAATATGGTAGATTCTTCATTTTATTGTGGTTTTCTGAGCAACTGTTGATTGATTGCACAAAGCAGAATTCCCTTTGATGAACACAGGTTTAGTCAGAATGCTCTGTGTGGGTTAGTATCTGTTTCCCTTGAAATTAACCAGTCTCCCCATTCCCAACCTTTCTGCCACCTTAGACCTTTTCTTCATGTACCACCAACGAGGCCACATCCTTCACCTATTTAGATGAGTTAGTATTGTTTTTCATCTCATTGGGCTGCACTTTTTTGTGATATCTTTTCCCCCCAGTATAATCAATGAGTGTTTATTGAATAGCTAGTTTCTCTGTGCTTATTTCTTTAGGTTCTATTTGATGAACAGAAAATTTGTCCACTGTAACAGTTATGGTGGTGACGAATTGCAATAAAGATTTATTTCTTGCTTATGCTACATGAACACTATGGGTGCAGGGGAAAGAGGGTGAGGTTGGTGCTCTACTCTCTATAATTACTCAAGAGCCAGGTTGCCAGAGCCCTCAAGGCTCATCTCAGAAAGGGAAAAGAGCAATGAAGAAGTTGCCTACCTGTTTCAATGTGGTGACCTGGCGGTGATCCATGGCACTTGTTGCAACCTGTTGGCCTTCACCTTACTTAAAGGGAGGCTGAGAGAAAGTGAGGGCATGTAGAATGTTTTCTGAACACCCTGTCTTTGCTGCATTCCTTGAGTAGTTTGTAATTTTATTCAAATAAGACCATAAAAATGGTATTATCCTTTATTAAATCTTGTGGTAGCCATGTTTCTCAAACTTGGTTGATAATAACTTGGATGTGTTCTCCAAAGTGAGACTCCCTGGCCATACCCCAAACTTACCAAATCAGAAGTTCCTGGGTGGAGGACGGGGAATCTGGATTACTAACAAGTTGCTTATATGATTAATATTACACTTCAACTTTGGAAAAAACAATATAAGCATGTTCAAAAATATAGTAATAGAGTTAGGGAGAAGTAAATACTTTTATAACTATGTCCGACCTTAGGATGGGAGATCTTGACAAACTCTGAAATGAAGCTACCCTCTTTCTTGAATTTGATGCAAATATGTGTACATATTTATAGGGAATATGTGGTATTTTGTTACGTACAAAGACTGTGTAATGGTCAAGTCAGGTTATTTCAAGTGTTCATCACCCTGAATATTTACCATTTCTCTGTGTTGGAAACATTTTCAGTCCTCTCTTCTGGCATTTTGAAATATGCAATACACTGTCATTTGTCACCCTATTCTGCTATCAAACCTTAGATCTTATTCCTTCTATCTAACTGTATGTTTGTACCCATTAACCAACCTCTTTTTCCACCCCAGCTGCCACCCAGACACCCTTCCCAGCTTCTGGTATCCATCAGTCTATTCTCTTCCTCCAACTTTTTTAGTTCCCATATATGAGTGAGAACATGTGTCACTTGTCTTTCTGTCAAGCTACACTCTTATATAAACCTCTTGCTGGTGTCACACAGTTGTACATATTGCATCATAATACCATGCTCAAAAATATGTAAAATGATATAAGTTGCTAATGCTCATTGAGAACTCAACTATGTATTAGGCATTGTGCTAAGGACCTTAATGTTTAACATCTCACAAAGTGGGTCCTCTGATGAGCATTGCATTTTAGATAAGGGAACTCAAGCTTTAGGAAGCTTATGGATGAGTAGTATTCCATTGTGTATACATGCCACATTTTTTTCAAGGGAACAGAAAGGAAAAAATAATAAAACACCACGTGTGTAAGTGTTCCCTTTTCTCTGTAGGTTAAAGATACATGAAACCAATTTCAGTCTCTCTCTCAAGCATATACACACCCACACAGACTTTTCCTCTTCTTAAATCAGAGACTGGAGGGCTACATTTTTCTTAATGATCTTCCTCTGCTAGCCCCAAGGACTAAGGCTATTTATTTATTTTTAGTTTTATTTTATTTTAATTGACATGTAATAAGTGTACATATTTATGGAGTACAATCTAATGTTTTAATACATGTATACATTGTACCATGATCTAATCAGGGTAATTACATTATTACCTCAAAGATATCATTTATTTGAGGTGAGAACATTCAAAATTATATCTTCTAGTTATTTTGAAATATACAATACCACATTATTAACTACAGTCACCTTACTGTGAAATAGAGTACCAGAACTTATTTCTGCTATCTATTTGTAATTCTGTACCCATTAACCAATCTCTCCCCATTCCCCACTTCCTCCTATTTTCCCCAGCCTCTGTTAACTACTATTCTACTCCATACTTCTATGAGATTAGCTTTTTAATATTCTGCAAATGAGTGACATCATGTAGTATTTGTCTTTCTGTGCTTGGCTTATTTGATTTAACATATTATTGTCCATGTTCATCCATGCCACCACAAATAACAGGACTTCATTCTTTCTTATGGATGAGTAGTATTCCATTGTGTATTCATGCCACATTTTCTTTATTAATTCATCCATTGATGGATACTTCAGTTGACCCTATATCTTAGCTATTGTGAATAGTGCTGAAAAAAAAAATAATAAAAAGCCATAGGAGTGCAGATATCTCCTTGACATACTGATTCCATTTCCTTTGGATAAATGCCCAGTAGTGAGACTGCTAAATCACATGGTTATTTCACTTTTTAAATTTTTTGAAGAACTTCCGTAATGTTTTCCATAATGGCTGGACTAATTTACACTCCCACTCGTGTGTAAGTGTTCCCTTTTCTCTACTTCCAGGACAATGGTTGTTTTCTTTTCTTTTCTTTTCTTTTTTTTTTTTTTTTTTTTTGAGACGGAGTCTCGCTCTCTCGCCCAGGCTGGAGTGCAGTGGTGCATTCTCAGCTCACTGCAAGCTCCGCCTCCTGGGTTCAAGCAATTCTTCTGCCTCAGCCTCCCAAGTAGTTGGAATTACAGGCACCCGCCACCACTTCCAGCTAATTTTTTGTATTTTTAGTAGAGGCAGGGTTTCACCATGTTAGCCAGGATGGTCTTGATCTCCTGACCTGGTGATCCACCAGCCTTGGCCTCTCAAAATGCTGGGATTACAGGCTTGGGCCACCGCGCCTGGCCTCTTTGGTCTTTTTGATAAAGCCATTTTAACTCAGAATAGATGATATCTTCTTGTAGTTTTGATTTGCATTCTCCTGATGATTAGTGATGTTCAGCATTTTTTCATATACCTGTTGGTCATTTGTATGTTTTCTGAGAAATGCCTTCTCAGGTCTTTTGCCCGTTTTTTAACTGGAATTTTTTTCTCCCTTGAGTTATTTGTGTTCCTTGAATATTCTGGATACTAACCTCTTGTCAAATGCATTGTTTGAAATATTTTCCCCATCTTATTAATATAAGGCTTTGTATTAATATTATAAGAAATACATCCTCACATGTATATTTGCTTGTTAGTACTGGAGTAAAACAAATTTCAACTTTTTTTTTTTTTTTTCCTCTTCACTGTCTTCCAGACACAGGCATAGCTTCTCTGAGCACAAATGTGGGGAATGGCCAATATAGTGAATTTTCTCCCACTGGCCTTGTATGATCTGAGAGCTGGCAGTGGACAAGCTAATGGGAGACCCAGTAACTAGCAGCACAGCAAATCTAAGGAGCTCTCTTAAAATAATCCATCTCACAGGAATGAACAGATTGCCTCATTTTAAAAGACATTTGAAACACTGTGGGTTTGAAGGGGCTGCAGTGCTATTGAAGAACATTTTCATTTCAAAAGCAGGGCTTTATACGTCTCAATTTCAATCTGTGTTATCTTAAACTTGGTTTCACACTAAAATGACTAAGAGCTATTTCATTGTGAATGGAAATGCAAGATTAAGAAAGAAGGATAAAAACCAGCATCCTTGTGGTTTTCCTCTAAAAGTGCAAATGTAATCTTTTAGAAAACGAAACAAAATAGCAGGTGTGTAGCACTTAGGAGAAAACCACATGGGTAAAGTCACACTCATGTAAAAAATAAATTATGGTAATGGGCCTCTTAATAGCACCTGATAACCAGATGTGTAGAAAACCAAGCCAAACCTTGCCATAAATGCTTTAAGAAAAGATGTCAATCAACATATCAGTATCCATTATCATGACAAGTAGCACTTTTAAATAAACCAAGGGCTAAGAGCTGGTTAAGTATAAGAGAAGATAAACCTATTCATAAGAAATAACTAAAAGCAAGGAGTTTCAAGAGAGAAAATTTAGTCCTGGGATTGATATTAAGTGATAGAATTTAAATAGCTAGGAAATATGTGGAAGGAAAACCAAGCTCTGAGAGAAAGTGGTTTCTGGCAAATTGTTTTCTATGACATTATTTGTCCTTTGTGGTTTGTAGTTAAAATACCTTATGCTTACTATGCTCCGAATTTTCATTATTCTGTAAAAATAAGATGAAGTAAAACACATTGGTTGGAAATTGTAGAATGACTATAAAATAGTGTCTACCAGTGTTGAATGACAGTTTTTTTTTATTTTAGAGTGAGTTTATACAATGAGGATGAGACAAATTTAATAAAAAGGATGTATAGTATTTCTTCTATAGCTAACAATATCAAAGTTAATCTTCTGCCCTTTATTTTTCTGCCCTATTTTCCATAAAAGAGTGGAAATGTCAAAATAGGGATGTTCAGTCTGTCACATTAGCTTGAGAGTTATAAAAAAGAAAGTAATTAAACTGTGCTTTCTGGGCATGGCCACCTTCTATGAAAAACAGGACCTTCAGACTCTAAAATCCTGCTGGACTGGGAAGCTGTGTGCTACCGGTGAGATCCTACCTCCTTGGATTCCCAGTATCCAAATGATCAATTCATTGTGTTGTGGCCTTTGTGTTGTGTGTTTTCCAGGTGTCAACCCAGGTAGGCTTGGAGCCTTCTGCGCAGGACAGGGCTCCCATCCTGTCCTTGAAGAGAGTGAGAGATGCCCTCCCTCTCTTCTCCACTGTGCAGTCTAGCAGTTTGGCTGAAAGATTTTAAAAATCCCTCCTTCTACCTCTTTTCCCAAGGCCCCAGGCCAAAATGCTTGGGAGAAAGACTTAGAAAGGACAATCAGAACAGCCAACTGTAAACAGCTGATTCATTTTTTAATGCAAATGTGCTCTTTCCCCTGGGAATTCTAGACTACTCTTTGGAGGAGTTAGTATACTTTGACTTTCTTCACTTAGAGCATGGGGTTCCCTGGCCAAGAACAGCCTGTATTTTTAGGAAGTGCATTGCTGTCCTCATTGTGGGATCCTTTTCTCCTTTGTTTTACCTCACATTAATAATAGTTTTCTAATACTCAAGTACAGTCAGTTCTGCTATAATGCTTGTTTAGAAAGCATGATTTTTTTTTGTTCCATCATGATTGATACATGAGGAGGAAATTTGAGCGTAATAAGAAGTTTGAGTTTGCTTATGCACAATTTCATTTGCTACAAACGCTATGGCAATAATGCAGAAAACTGCACCTAGCTGAATAGCATCCTGTAAGGAAACACAAAATACACACACGTGCATACATACACACACATCCTAAAGCAGGGCCAGCTACATGACTTGCCTGACTCAATACAAAATATTAAATATGAGACGTCTTGTTTCAGAATTATTAAGGATTTCAAGACGGCCACAGCAGAACGTTAAACCAAGTTTGGTGTCCTCCTAAGCATGGGGCCATGTGTTCCTGCACAAGGTGCACATCCATGGAGCCAGCTCTCCCTCAAACATCTTCCAGATTCCTCAGTTTGCTGCTTATGTTATGAGCCACACCCCATCTATTCCTTGAGATGTTACAATTTTTCTGCCAATTTTGGATAACCCTTGTATTAGTCCATTCTTGCACTGCTATAAAAAATTCCTGGCTGGACTCAGTGGCTCACACCTGTAATCCCAACACTTTAGGAGGTGGAGGTGGGTGGATCACCTGAGGTCAGGAGTTCGAGACCAGCCTGGCCAATATGGTGAAACCCCGTCTCTACTAAAAATACAAAAATTAGCCAGGCATAGTGGCACACGCCTATAGGCCCAGCTACTTGGGAGGCTGAGGCAGAAGAATTGCTGGAACCCGGGAGGCGGAGGTTGCAGTGAGCCTAGATCACACCATTGCACTCCAGCCTGGGTGACAGAGTGAGACTGCATCTCAAAAAAAAAAAAAAAAAATCCTAAGACTGGGTAACTTATAAAGAAAACAGGTTTTATTGGCTCACATTTTCACAAGCTGCACAGGAAACGTGACTGGGGAGGCCTCAGGAAACTTACAATCATGGTAGAAGGCAAAGGGGGAAGCGGGCATGTCTTACATGGCTGGATCAGGATGAAGAGAGAGAGAGGGAAGTGCTACACACTTTTTTTATTATTATTATACTTTAAGTTCTGGGGTACATGTGCAGAACATGCAGTTTTGTTACATAGGTATACACATGCCATGGTAGTTTGCCGCACCCATCAACCCATTACCTACATTAGGTATTTCTCCTAATGCTAACCCTCCCCTAGCCCCCACCCCCCAATAGGCCCTGGTGTGTGATGTTCCCCTCCCTGTGTCCATGTGTTCTCATTGTTCAGCTCCCACTTATGAGTGAGAACATGTGGTGTTTGGTTTTCTGTTCTTGTGTTAGTTTGCTGAGAATGATGGTTTCCAGCTTCATCCATGTCCCTGCAAAGGACATGAACTCATCCTTTTTTATGGCTGCGTAATATTTCATGGTGTATATGTGCCACCACTAACCTCACTATCATGAGGACAGCTCCTAGGGAGATGTTGTTAAACCATGAGAAACTGCCCCCATGATCCAGTCACCTCCAATACCAGAGATTACAATTAAACGTGAGATTTAGGTCGGGTCACAGATCCAAAACTTATCAACCCTCCTTCCACTGCTGCTTCACAGTAATTCACAAGCTACATCCCTTCTGATGACCACTTCTATAAGTACGCTTCAGATCTTTTCAGAAGTGCCACATTTATTGTATTACTTATGCATTTATTAACCATTTCCTATGTGGAAATTAAGCTGCTGTTATTAGGTTTCTATTATTTTCTCTGTTACTGATAAAAATTTTTACAGTGCTGTGCATCTAGCTCCAATTTTCCCATAAGCTCTATGGTTTTTATCGTGAAATCCCACTTAGCGTGGTGTCTTTTGTTTTATTTTGTTTTTTCAGAATGCATATTTAATGTTATAGTATAAGTGACTATCATTATGAAGAAAAGACATACTTTTATTAGATATCTCTCAACACATAAATTTCATACTTAACTGAACAGTTGTAGTAGGGATCATTTTAAGAGTTCAAAATTCTAGGGAGAACTAAGGTTTTAATGTTGTTATCTACATTGAGGTTACCTCAAATAACCTGCTTCCAGCCCATCAGACTGTTCTTAAGCACCAAAGAAGTCTTGCTCCATAGAGCTGGATTAGAATTTCAGCAAGGAATTTTAGATTATTTTAAGAAAACTTAGAAAATCAAGGGATTAAGTTAGTTGATTGCATGATTGTATCAAAGAAAATGGAAGTGCCTTTGATCAATTTATTAGTTGTCTGTTCCTCAGAGCCTCAGCTTGCAGACAGTCCATTCTCTCCAGATGCATTCTGTGTGGTGGCTTTCCAGGTTCAGTTCCATCCCTGAGGGCAATGGCACTTGCAATTCAAATTCAGGGAGGAGAGACTCTGATTCCTCCTTTGTAATGCAGGCACAACTAATGAACTCATTACAGCTGGCCCATATGTGCATTGCCTATTCCTTGGTAAAGTGGGCAGGGAGACTGTAGTCTGCCAACATGCACCCTTTCGAAGGGGCTATCAGTGAAGAGGTTTCACTTGTAGCTGTGTAAGTATTTCTACAGTGATGGAGGGTCTGGGGTCAGTGCTGAGTCTTCCCAGTTCACTGAGATTGGGTTGTACAATTGGGACCAGCTGTAGTTAGTCCATTGGTTGTACTTGCATGACACTGGAGTTTATGTAAATAGCTAAGTGAAGTATTATGGCCAGTGACTCCACTTGGATTCTTAGCACTATTGAATTTTGTCTCCATGCCTTCCCCAGGACCATGATGAAGAAGTGTCGGATTTTGGATTAATATATTTAAATAAGATGTTTTGTAGAAATATTTTAAATATATCATTTAAATGAAGCCCATGTTTTAGAAGTAAAAATATTCAAAATATCCAAAGCAGTTTTTACTAAAAAGTATGGAAACAAAGATTAGTTTTTTAAATACCAAAAATTGGAGTATTCTATTGGCACAATTACAAGAAAGAAGCAGAGACAGAAAGACTAAATAAGTTAGACCCAATTTTGAAATGTTTTCCCTTCTTCTTAAAGGAGAAAAATTCACTGGACTTAACATGAGATGTAAAACTGTACTTCTAGCCAGAAAAAAAAAAAACAAAAAAAACTGACTTTTAAAAGTCATTAGTATTTATCACCAAGAATCCATTTACTTCAAATGACTTTTTAAGGCCAGTTAGACAGTCTCTGAGCTCTGCTTAGCAGAGTTAAAGCCTTCAGGAAAAGGTTAAACACACAGTCTGTTTAAGTAGATACTAAGTCTGGTAAATATATTGAAAATTGGAACTATATTGCTTGCTATACTTGGACATTTTGAGATGTCCTATACCATCTGAAATTCTTATTTCTCTTTTTGTGGCCTGTTATATCTAGTAGAAAAATACATATGCATACATTTTTGAATGATTATACTTATTATACTTGTAAACAACACCATTATTAGAAAACGGCAATAAACTAGTGCATCTTTTTTATTCAGAGGATACTCAGACAATGCCTAGGTTCGAGCCATTGAAATAATTTTCAGTGAGATCTATTTTTTAAAAATCTTTATGATTCACAATTAGGTCATACAGTTGATCCAATTCAGTTAATAGAAAGTTAGAAAAGATTAAAATAACTTAAAACATTACATACTCTCTTAGACTTACAGCCAATTGTCCTGACATTAGGTTAAGATATAACAAAACATGTTTTATATCTATGTCCAAAGACCCCAACTGATAAGATTCAGTAAGTTCTGCTACTTCAATATAACAATTCATGATACTGCTCTGCTGAATAATGCATTTATAGAATAGCTGTGCTCTTATGTCTATGGAAATAAAACAATAAACCACAAATTCACAGCATTCCTTTTTTTCTTTCTTGACAAGAGTAGAGATTGCAACTTTATCTCTGCAATATCTTCCTTCTGTTACATTTGGTAATATGAAATCTGAAGCATAATTATCTTCCACTGTGACTTTTAGGTATTTTTCTTAAATGCTGTAAGCCTCAGCTTTTTAATCTATAGAAATGTCAATGATAATTGTACCTAATCTCAAGGGTAATTGTGAGAAGTAAATCAAGTGATGGATGTAAAGCACACAACATTAGGTTTGGCCACAGGCAGCACAGAAAAAAAGTTAGGTGTTACTATCATTACTATATGTCCAGAACTTACTGGGTTCTTTTGAGTGATTGGATTGGCCATTAGCCTAATTGACTGTGCATATGACATAAGCTTAATTACTCAAGAGACTTAGTATTAGGCATATCTTCTCAGTTCAATAATTCTCAACAGATCCTAACATGGAAACCAACTTTCATGGAGTCAGCGTTATATAGAGGGTGAGGCAAGCTGTGGGTGAAGACTGCAGTGCTGCTCGCTAGTTCTAGCCTTGTCCAACTTCTACGGACACTTCTGAAACTTCTCTAGTTTCTTCATCTGAATAATGAGCTAGGGTTCACATTTCAGACATATCTTAATTCCTTTCATGGAGGACATTGCCAAGCATACAGTAGGTATTTAATAAATGTTTGCTGACTGAATAGTCACACCCTACTGGCAATGAAGTAACTTCCAGCTGTGAAAATTAGTTTTTCTTCCTGGAAAAATAGTGTAGGAGTTCTTCAGGAGCCAATCCTTCTTGGTACACTTAAGGAACATCCATTTATTTGGTATTAAAAATTGACGCTTTTTGGTTTTGTCCATATAATTAGAAAGAGTATTTTCTATAACTAGTCATGGATAATCTATAGCAGCAACTAAAATAAATGTATTATAATAAATAAAATACAGTATACTTTTATTTTAAGAATTTTTGATAAAATTATATACTTTCTTTTAGCATAAATGCCTTCTGAGTTTCTCACCTTCTGTTATGGGCTGAGTTGTGTGTTCCCCCAAAATATTCACATGTCAAAGTCCTAACAACCCCCCCATATCTCAGAGTGTGACTGTATTTGAAGATAGGCCCTTTAAAGAAGTGATTAAATTAAAATTAGGTCATTAGAGTGGGCCCTAATCCAATCTGACTAGTGTCCTCATGAGAAAAGAAAATGAGGATACTGCACACATACAGTAGTCCCATGTGAAGTTACACGGAGAGGTGGCTGTGTTGTAGGATTCTTAGTTCAGGTAAGACAGGGGTCCTTGCACATGGTCATGAAAAATTAGGCTCGCAGACAATTTGAAGGGTAAGGAGGGGAGGGTTTACTGGGTGAAAAGGAAAAAAGTGAAACAGGGACTCTCCACAAGGACAGTCCCTACACATGTGCTTTCCACCTTGTGGATTGAATCCCAGGTACAACCCAGGAAAAGGAGGAGCCAGGCTCCTCCCTGCTGCAAATGGCATGAACTTCTGTGGCTCTACCCCAGTGCACACTCCTCCCAGTGCAGGTCGGTTGGAGTTTCTCTGGGGACCTCTTTACACTTGGCTGTCTCAGCAGTCTACATGTCAAGGAGAGAGACCTCAGGAGAAACTAATCCTGTAGACATGTTGACTTTCGACTTCCAGCCTCCAGAACCACAAGAAATACATTTTTGTTGTTTAAGCCACTGACTCTGTGATACTACTTTTTATAGCAGCCCTAACAAACTAATATATGTCTCATCTGAACATTAGTCCAGATCCAATATTTTCTAAAAAGTTTTACCTGATAACGCTGGTCTGTCAGGTCCCTACAGTTGCCTTTTGTTTGTATTTCATTCTATATTTTCCATGAATTTTCTCTCTTCAAACAGGTCACCAGTCCCAAAGGGACATGTCATGCCTTGCCTGTATCTGTAGTTATATACCACTGTATGTGTTCCCCATGGCATCTAGCATACTTCCTCAAACTCAGAAGTTAGTTGATGTTTGATAAATGCTGTCATTGATTTTATGTACTCATATATAGATGTGGATTAAAGATAGAACGAATTTTTAGTTTTATGGAATGATTCAATTTAGTATGTGCCTTCTGGGATTTTCTTGGGTAAACATCATCAGCAAGCTTGTTTCTCTATCATGTTATACCTCCTTGGCAGAGCTCTGCTGTGGATGATTGTTGTTGAAGTGAAAGGAGGGAAAGGGATAAGATTCTGAAATGTGATTTGGGTCCTTTTGAAAACTGACATAGCATTTCAGATTCCAAAGTACTTGTGTTGTCCACCTTCATGAAAAGTTGAGACTAAAAGAAAGAAGGTATTATAAAGTTTAAAACATTGGATTGCCTCAAATCCAATCTAGAGATGTCAACTTAGAAACTTACCATGTCTTGGAAAATCTTTTATCCATGGCTAAGTTTTAACAATGGGACCACTTGATATCATTGGTGCTGACAGTGGGTATGTGAGAGTTGCTGTGTCTTTAACTATTAACGGTAATGAAATAAGAGGTAAAGAAGTAGGCCAGGCACAGTGGCTCAAGCCACTTTAATCCCAGCACTTTGGGAAGCTCAGGCAGGTGGATCGCTTGAGCCCAGGAGTTTGAGATGAGGCTGAGCAACATGGCGAAATTCATCTCTACAAAAAATACAAAAATTAGCCCAGCATGGTGGTGTGTACCTGTAGTCCCAACTCCTCAGGAGGCTGAGGTGGGAGGATCACCTGAGCCTGGGTATGTTGAGACCACTGCACTCCAGCCTGGGTGACAGAGCCAAACCATGTCTCAAATATATGTATATGTGTGTATATATATGTATATATATATATATATATAATAAAATAAAAACTGTTTTCCAAATGGCCACATTTTCTATTTGTGCATATATGCACATATATGTAAATTATGTACAACGATAGACACAAAACCACTACACCCTTCCACTGCCACCAATATGTCTTTACCTCCCTCACAGGTATGGATCCTTTTCCAAAACGCATGTCAAATTAGTCTTGGCTAAATGCAAAATCATTTACATATTTAAGCAGCCAAACCTCAAAGGGCTATTTATAAAAATAAACATTAGCACTGAAAATATTTAGTTCTGAGTTTAGATCAGTCAGAAAACAAAAATATAATAAGCCCATCAGGTCATATCAAGTAGGGACACATTTTCTGGATTCAATACAAATTTTGTTGACAATTTTCAATGAGTTTGATTTTTCAAAACAGATGGCTGCCAATTTATTTTCCTTTTCCAATTTATAATTTGGCAAGTCCCTTTTCTTATGCATTTGTTGAATTCTGCATTTAATGTGTTCTCATGGGTCATACTTGTGAGAAACTGATTACTCAGTAAATTTACATGGGGAAGTAAATAAGAATGTGACTTCAAGGTAACTGAGTTTTATAGAAGAAAGACAGTCTTTTTAGGTTCAGAATCATGGGACACTGACTATTGTAAAATTCTCATCTTTCCTTGTCCCAAATTTTAGAACTTTTCTGGATAGCTCTTTTGCCAGTGAAGAGGCAAGATAGTTCCCAGCTTTAATAAATAACTGCGGCCAGGCGCAGTGGCTCACGCTTGTAATCACAGCACTTTGGGAGGCCGAGGCAGGTGGATCACTTGAGGTCAGGAGTTTAAGACTAGCCTGGCCAACATGGTGAAAACCCGTCTCTACTAAAAATACAAAAATTAGCTGGGTGTGGTGGTAGCTGGGACTACTCTGGAGGCTGAGGCAGGAGAATCACTTGAACCCAGCAGGCGGAGGTTGCCATGAGCCGAGATGGCGCCACTGTACTCCAGCCTGGGTGACAGAGTGAGACTCTGTCTCAAATAAATAAATAAATAAATAAATAAATAAATAAATAAATAACCAAAGTTTTTGCCACAAAACTAAATTTAAAAATAGATAAAGCAAGAATAGAAGGAAAGGGCAGAGACTAGGAAGTGAAAGAATAGAAAGTCGGATTATGATTTCCATTCCTTTGAGGATTTTAAATTCTTGTTTTGAAATTTTTGCAGGAGCTGCCACTGCTAATTTATATAGTATTAGAAAGGAATTGCATCCCAGGAAGTCTCTAATCAGGAGTTAGGACCTTACAGTTGAAAGACCCCATAATTTCAATATAGTAAACATATGTTTCCCACTGCTTTCTCTAGATATCAAAGAGTAGTTTTTAAGTGAAGATGAAAGTTACTATTTGTTCATGATAACTTTAACATACTACTGGGTATACTTTTGAATGTACTGATGCAGTGAACATATACTTTACCCCAGCTTCCCTCAATCCCATTCGAAGAGGATATGAAAACTGCTGTCCTGTTTTAATTTTTAAATTAATAAGTGTGATCTTAAATGTGCACTTTATGTTTTCAGGTCAGAGAGATTTTAGAATATGAAATATATTTTGATATGTTTGTTACTTAGTTTTGGCTTCCAAAAACCTCAGGATGTCAAAGTAACCTTGTTCCAGAACAGACATTAGTGACGCCTTATGCATTCGACCACCTCCTGCCTGTCCTCAACTGAAGACCTAGTCTAGTCTGGTGAGCAAAACTAACCATTTAAAATTTAGAAATGGCCAAGGGTCCCAGTGAAAGGTGCCAGGTTAGGTTTTTACTGTAATCACTTAGAACCATAAATAAAGATTGTGTTCATATGCAAGTTATAGAAAACCCTATTAAACGGTGGTTTAAACAAATTTGACTTTTTATTTTTCTTCTTTAACAAGAAGTCAGAATGTATCCAGTTCCAGACATATGTTTTGTGGTTCCGGGATGTTTGAGTGGCTGTGTTTGTAATTATCTTGATTTTTAATTCATGGCTACAATATGACTCCTATAACATTTGCCATCACATTTGAGTTTCTAGAAGCATGAAGGAGAGGGAAGACACAGTAGGAAAGGAAGGAAGAAGGACAAAGTAGTATCGGTATCAGGAAAGCAAAGGCTTTCCCCAGAATTTTTAGTGAACTTTTACTTATGTCTCATTGTGCAGAACAGTGTTATGTGGTCAGTCGCAGGCCAGCAAGTGTGAGGGTGTGAGTTTTTAACTTTTTATAGTAAAAGAAAGGTGAAAGAAAAATGAATAGGAACAACTTTGAGTAGGCAAAACTCTAGAATCCACCACAAACCTATGTAGAGTTTGAACTACATGAATATAATGAAGCGTAGAGCTGAAGGGAAGCTGCTTAGATCACCACTAACTCAGTAAGAATTATCCCATAATCACTAATAAGTCCTATCCAAGGACAAACACCTATCTTTGTATATATTTTAAAAACGTATTGGGTTTTCTCACAAATTTGATTCTAGATGAATTTGGCATAATACAGCTTTTTTTTTTTTACTTATCTATATCTAAAATTCCTTATTGATCCAAACTTTCATACAAAACTGGAAGCCATTTAAAACTACCAATTTGTAGGAACAGTCTTATTTTATGAGAATTCATTATTGTGTATGTCTATAAGACTCAGAAATTGAAGACCTTTTGTAACGTGGACACATTATACCCAGCACTGTCCCATGAAAGAGAGAAATTTGTCATGAAATATTGAGCCTCCAATCATTGCAAATATCCCAACACAACCTGAAGGCCAGTGTTGATATGGAAGAAATTCCTATTTAGAGTAGAAGATGGATGTCAGAAGTCTATTGCAAATAGTATAAAAAATAAAGAAAACCTACAAACATTATAATAATTGCAAGCAAAGATTTGGATCCATACCCAGAACAAAGACCTGAGTGGTTTTGGTTCTGTTGTGTGAGTTGTAGTTCAAATATTCGCCTTCTGTTCATTAAAGGCATACTCAGAGCAATGCTGGGAAATACAGCAATCTGTCTTGCATCAAAGCAATCCCACAGTGAGATCTGCCCAGCATATATTTTCCTGGCATGATGTGGTGAGATTCAGTCTAAGCACGTTACTTCAGTTTTGATATCACAGGGAAAGCACAGAACATATCTTTTCATAGTACCACAGATTTTTGCTGCATCCTGTAAATGACACATGTTACCACTTTTTGGTGGATGAGCTCCAGGGCTAACAGAGCCTGCGGTTTGTAGTGTTCCTAGTGTGAGAAAGAGGTTGCCCTTTCTCCAGCGCTCTGTGCTCCCATTCCCCTACATTGACTAATCTAACTACTCAGTAATTCAAGGATTTCTTTCAAGGAGAGGACAAAACTCGGCTCCACATTGCATAATTCTAACACCCTTGAGAGAGAGAGAGCACACATACTGACATATTCCTAGGATAGAAAAAAATGGGCAATGTTTTGAGGAAGTTAGTCTATGATGAGGGAGAGATTAGAAAGCTGGAAAAGTGTTGTAAAGGTTGTTTTACTTTAATAAATGCTGGAGTTTGTTTATAAGTTATAACAACAAGCTAATATAAGATTTTAATTAAGATAGTAGAGGTTATATAGCCAATGGTGTTGTGCTCAGACGTCATTGGAGTATTTAATCCACCGATGGTCAAAGCATTGTTGGGATGAAATAAACAATAAATAATGGAAAACAAAACAATTGAAACCCCTGATTGAAATTCTGTTGTTGGAAATGCCTTTCAAGCTAGTTGTGGAATTTGCAAGAAAACTAGTATTTATAGTGACAGAATTAATCACAAGGAACTGTCGTAGAATGCATGATCACATATCCCTGCCTGTTACCATGTGAGGGGCACTGTTTCTCTGGGAGCAATGTATTTCTACACTGCGTTGACATTGGACTTGTTTTGACCAAAGAAAAGTGAGATCAGAAATCTGCCATGTCCCACCAGCAGCTATAAGAGCCACTGCATATTTTCCCAGCTCTCTTGTTCTTTCTGTCTGCCACAAAATTGATATTTCACAAATAAGATCACCTTGTACATTCTGGGCCCCCAAAATAAGGAGACAGTGGAGGAGGGCAGAAAACATTAACTCAGGGCAGTCCACCAGAAATATCAGGGAGAGATAAATTATTACTGAGAACACATTTTTATTGTTTTAAGTCCCTGGGATTTTAGGGTTATTTGTTACTGCAGCAAAGCTGACTAAAATGCATATTTGTATGCTTTGTTATTTTAAAATTGGACATCACCTCCACTGTACTCCTTCAAACAGCACAGAATAATGGTATAGTTTTTTTTTTTTTTTCTCTCTCCTCTTAGTGGAGCACATTTTCACCATTCAGAGCAGAAACCTTTTAGGTTATAGCTTAAAGAAAACTAAAGGAGTGCAAAATGCTAGGCCTTTTCCTCCTTGTAATGTTTGAAAATTCTTGAAGTTGGTTTGTTTATTTGGAGGGGATGGGGGCATAAACAGTGTAAGCTCAATGATCAATGCTAACATTCTCTAAAACAAAGACTATTGGGTTCATAGCAAACCTTGGCAATGTGAGAAGGGGAGGTATGTGTAGAAGAGATTATATACCTACTTTACTCGCTTTAAGGGTGCAGTAAACTGTTATGGCTTTTTTGAACTTGAATGTTATTATGTGTGGCATATCTTATAATTATTTGTGCTCCTTGGAAGACTATTTGAGCCTCCTCATTCCCTGCAATCTTTTAAGGTAATTGCTGACTGCAAGGAAAGTGATTAGTAAGGCAGAGATGAATAACTAGAGGTCTCTTGCCACAATGTTTTGCCAGACTAATTCAAATCAACTCTGGGATGTAGGTCTTTTGAAATTTCTCTAACTTTTCTTTTCTTTTATACTTCTTTGAAGGAAGATTTATCGTCTCAGGTTATGCATGTGAAATATGGAACAGATTATTTTCAGATAGTGTCCCAAACGCTACAGCCTCAGAACTTTCCTATAGGTGATGTTCTATAGAAAATGTGCATTTCTCTAGGATGAGATTAACCATGGGAATCTTATGTACAGTCATAATTAAATAATAAGGTCCTTGTAGGCAGTCTATCTATGAATAAATCTTTGTCTTGTTTTAAGGAAGCCTGCTAAAAATCAACACATATTGCCATATGAAAGTGAAATTTGCAGCCTGAAATGCATTGCTAGAATAGGTTGATTATGATGGAAGGACAGACAGTTTCTTGAAGAAATAGAATAATATTCAGGCAACATGTCCTCCATATGTAGCCGTCATATTAGAGATGACAAATGGGGACATTCCAAAGGTGTCCAGATTGCTCAAGTCATTTTGTATTATGCAAGATGGAGTACTCACCTTAAAAAATAAAAAATAATAAATTATAAAAACCTAGAACTTTCGGAGTTCACAAATTGCTGAGCTTTCAAAAAAAAATCAATAATGAAGTCAACATGTAACCTTCATGCACACTGTGGAAATAGAGTGACACATTGTAGCTTATAGCTAAAACACATCTGAGTTTGATTTTTATGAGAATGTTCTTATCACACTGCTGTAAAACTGCACTGTTGTCATCAAGTAGATCAACAAAATGGGCATAACATTTAGTGATATGACATTTGGTGATATTAACTCCCTTGGGATTAGCATACTCTGCTGAGGCATAGCCCTTTTATGCAATTTTAACTATTCATGATAGTTAAGGGCTGGTTAATTAACAATGTTTCAAAGATATAGACAATAGACTGTTAAATTTATATATATCAGAATCCTAAATGTTGACCAAAGCAAAAATTTATCAATATGAGTTTGTTAGCCAAAACTGTTTTCACTTAATTTAGATTTTATTTTGAAAATGCATTCCAAATACAAAAACTATTACAATGTTTGTATCTTATTAAAAAATGAATAGAATCATCTGTCTGGACATACAGCAATAACTCTTTCCAAGGCATACCTGTCATTTAGTTTAATAACTCTAATGAGATCCTTTTATTGCCATCTGTGTCTCAGACTAATAGGCATTTCAGGCTTTATAATTGGAAAAAAAGAGACAAAGTTACAGCTAAAGTTGATTAAAGATGACAACAACATTATAACCATATACAAAAACGAATAATCACAAGTTATGCCTTGAGAATGGTCTTTTTAACATGAAACCATGGAAGAAGGTATAAAGTTCATGTATATATAGTATAATATCTCAAAATAACTGGTTAATAATGTTGTAAGTTTTATTTCCTTAAGATAGTCATTACTTATTCCAGAAATATTTGCATAATGGCAAAAATAGTGTATATGTTAAATCAAAATACTCCTTCACTTAGCCAATGTTTATTCAACTCCTTTTATGGAAGTAAATTCTAGATGCTAAGGATTATAGCAGGAAAAACAAGGAAAAGCAAAATAATGACAAAATCTGCTGTTATGGTACTACATTGTAGTGGAGGAAAATAAACAATGAAATAATAAAAAAAAAAGTTTGTCACGTAATACTAAGTACACAGGGAAAATAAAGCAAGGAGGGGTAAAAAAATGAAATGGAGCAAGGGTAATATTTAAAAATGGATGCTCAGGGAAGCCTCACTGGAGAAGTCATTGAAACTCACTGGAGCCCACAGTATCCTGGACTGAGGAGAAGGTAAGTACAAAGACCCTGAGGAAGGAGCAAGCCTGGAATAGTCACTGAGCTTTCAAAGCACCGGTGTGGCTGCTGCAGTGGGGTTGGAGGAGTTGTATGAAATGAAAACCCTTGGGGAGCCAGAGGAGATCATTTAGGGGCTGTTGGATAAATGAAGTTGTTGAATTTTTCTTCAAGTGAGATGAGAAATTTTAGAAGAATTTTGAGTATTCCGTGTTATCTGATTTGTATTTAAAATAGACTGTGGATCCTAGAACAAGTGTAAAAGCAAAAGGCTGTTGAAAAAAAATCCAGGTAGGAGAAGATAGTAGCTTGGACCAGTATGGGGTGATGAAGGTCCTGAGAGTGGTCAGATTCTACACATATCTGGAATTAAAGCATACAGATTTGCTGATGATTTGGTTTGCAAGAGGAGTCAAGGATGATGCCAAGTTCAAAATAATTGCCCGTTTTGTAGATGGCAAAGCCAAAATGAATATTCTCTTTCAAAAGTAATCTTATATCCCAGGGTTCTCTAAGCCGAGAACATTGGTAAACAAAACTCACAGATTCTGCAATCTGGAATGGGAAAAATTTCATCTTCATCTTTATAAATTTAGCATTACTGTAATTATAAAGGTAGACAACAAACCACTGTAGAATTAACAATGTCTGTAGCTTTATCACCAATAGAATTCACATACGTATTCATATTACCTTATATTTGGTGCAGATATCTGAAAATGTCATTTATACTCATCACTACTTCCCAATAATTACTACCAATTATATCTGCTGCCAGACCTTATGATTTAATATGTTCATTAATAAGCATATTTATCAAAATTAAAAATATCTTTATAACTTCTTTATGTTTTCTTTGTAATAGTATGTGTTTTATTTTAGGGATTTTTAGACATTATCCTGAGAAGGTCTTCACAGGCTTCAGGAGAAAGTCAAAAGGGCCCATGGCACAAAAATGTTAAAAATCCTTTTTTCAGCCATATGCAATAGTATACACCATTGGAGATTATACCAGCATGTGCTCTCAAGGACAATAGGAAAAATAATTATCAAGTATTGCGTGCTTACTATATGCCAAGTACATTATCTAATTTATTTCCCATCACAAATCTCAGAGGCAGAGATTATCCTTGTTTTATATAGAAAAAAATATCGGCTTGGAAAGAATAAATAACTTCTACAAGGTCATACATCTTGCATGTGGAGATTCAAATTTTAGTCTGTTTCCTAAGTGCATCCTCTTAACCATCAAAATATATTGCTTCCCATCATGGAAGAATGAAAACTGATGATATAAAACAGCTTGTAGGAACTCTCTATCAAGAAATGGAAGCTGAGGCACTATATAGCCACTTGTTGGGGAGAAAAGATAGAATAAAAGCAGCCAAGCAAATATTTTTTTTCTTTTTCTCCCTCCCTCCCCGCTCCCTGTTTCCCCTCAGTCCTCCCTCCTCCCCACTTTCCTTCCCTCCCTCCTCCCCACTTTCCTTCCCTCCCTCCTCCCCACTTTCCTTCCCTCCCTCCCTTCCTCCTTCCTTCCTTCCTTCCTTCTTTCCTTCCTTCCTTTGTTCCTTCCTTCCTTCCTTCCTACCTTCTCCCCTCCCACCCTTCTTCCCTCTTTATCTTTTTTCTGCTTTTCCTTCCTTTTTTTCTCTTTCCGTTTTCCTCTGGGCAATAAGCATTATTACTTTTCTATCATTTGAATCCTGTGTGTTCATTGGAAAGCATTTGTGCCATTCACAGAGATGGAAGGATTAAGGAAAAGATTTGCTAGAATGCAACTTTATGAGGTAACTGCTGTTAACATTTTGAACACCATCCTTCCACAAACCTTATATTTTATACATACTTACACAAAAATATGTATATAATTTCACAAAAATAGATTCAAATAGTACATGCTTTTTTCAGAAAAAAAAATAGTATCCCCTTGCTCTTACACTGCATTCACAATTGTGTCCCACTCCTCATCCCACACACCCCACTTTTAGAAGAAGCCATCATATACACTTAATGTCCTCTCCTGAAAAATATGGCAAGGGCAGTGATAGGATTCAGTTAACCATTGACTGATAGTAAGGATTCATGTATCAAGGTGTGGGCTGTGTTCACTGTATTCTGACTGCAGGGGTTTCACTTGTGGCCCCCATGTTTATCAATCCTTACTGAGCAACTTTTGGCAACATGCTTAACACACGAAGATCTTTCTTTCTCCATGTGTAAAATGAGGATAGTAATAATAGGTACCTCACTGAGTGATTGTGAGGCTTAAATGAGTTATTACATGAAAGCTGTATACAAGTGTCTTACTCAAAGTAGGAAGCTGTAATTCTTGTTGCTTTCTCACAGTCTTGGGTTGGACCCTTCACCTCACCAGAGGAGGGCCTGGGTCACAAATTGAATCAAGTCCCATGGGAGTGGCTCTTGGTTGATCAACCAGTAGGTCAGCTCAAAGTCCACCTTGGACCCCAGCATATTAGTAACATTCTTTGCATTTTATAAAGGAAAACATTGTCAGATTTCAAAGAACTTGAAAAGCATATCAAGATATTGTTTAATAAATAGGTGACACAAACTCATGTGATATATACTTTTTTTCAGAAATAAAGCAATACATGCCAAATGAATACTTAATTTCATAATGATGGTATGTCATCATAGTTATACTTTATATGTTGGATATCTATATTATATATAATTATACATAACTGTAGTTAGACATCTAACTGGACTTTTGTTTTTCAAATTTTATTTTGGAATCAAGGGCACCTGTAGGTTTGTTACAAAGCTATATTGCATGATATTGAGGTTTGGGGTGTGATTGAACTGGTCACCCAGGAAGTGACCATAGTATCCAATAGGTAGTGTTTAGCTCTTGCCTCCCTCCTTCTCTAGTAATCCCCAGTATCTATTGTTTCCCATCTTTATATCCATGTGTGCCCAATGGTTAGCTCCCACCTATAAGTGAGACTATGTGATATTTAGTTTTCTGTTTCTGCACTAGTTCACTTAAGATAATGGCCTCCAACTCCAGCCACGTTGCTGCAGAGGACATGATCTCATTCATTATTATGGCTGCATAGTATTCCAGGTGTATAAGTGTCACATTTTCTTTATCCATTGCACTGTTGATGAGCACTTCAGTTAATCCCATATTTTTGCTATTGGGAATAGCACTGCAATGAACATATGTGTGTGTGCTTGTGTCCTTTTGGTAGAATGATTTATTGTCCTTTGGGTATACACTCAATAATAATATTGCTGGGTCAAATGGTAGTTCAACCCTTAGTTCTTTGAGAAATCTTTAAACTGTTTTTCAAGTATTTCATTTTTATCACTGTGATTAGAGCTTGCTAAGAAAACTGATATTTTAAGTCATTCCTACCTCTCATTTTTATATTTTTGTGTGCTCCAAGATTGGCCAGGGGCTATACAGAACAACGATTTTTACTCATTGCTGACAATTTGTAGTTGACCAATTGAGGCATAGAAAAGGAAGAAAAACAATACAAAAATGAAGCATAATTTACTAGGAAAGATTGTTTAACAGTATTCTACGGCTTCTCTAACAGTTTCATCACTTGCAGTGGTTTCATCAGCTTCAGTATGTTATGAAGAAAGCATGAAAGGTGAGATGTTATCACATTCTAAGGAAAATATTTACTTGCCAAGTAAAAGAGTTTGCACCTATTTTCACTTAATCTGCAAGCCTCAGTTAAAGATAAAACGTGTTTTCATTACAACTCTGAAAATGTCAGAGAATGAATCTGGAAGGTAAGTAGATTGGAACTATTTTAATCACTAAAATATGAATGAATATTGTATTTGTGATTTTTAAGCCATTATTTTACTTTTGGCTTGTGTAAGTTATTGTGCAATGAGTTCCTCATATTTAGTATTCATTGTTTAATATACTTATTTTTATTCATTCATGAATTTCAAAGTTTCCTAATTGAGCATTTGGTGTGACAGCATATTCATGATTTAACAGACTTCAAACAAATCTCTTCACAGCCTCCATATTTTCTCTATTGCCTTAGGCAGAGTAGGGGGGTTCAAAACTTTACCTCCTGGCCTCTAAGAGTCTCAGCTGGGCCTGAGAATTAAATTGACATAAGATAGATTAACAGGAGAAAAGCACAGATATTTTTACAAGTACAAGGGAGCCCCCACAGGAAATGACCCAAAGAAGTGGCCAAAGCTAAATGCTTATATAATAGGCTGAACAGAGGTAGGCAGGTGTGGAAGTAACTAAAATCTATGGGAAGGATAAAGGAAAGTAAGAGCTATTTTAAGAAAGTCTGTTTGTACAGATTTTTCTGGGTTTCAGCTCCCCATCTCTAGTGACAAGAACATTTCTTCTTTCCTGGTAAGGGGAAAGCATTTTTCACATGAGAGTTTTCTCCCATCTCTGGTGATAAGAATGTCTGTTTATTTGTCCTCCTATAGGGAGGCCAGAGTTTTCCTTTTGTATCTGCTGGTTTTTTAGTCTTTAGCTCAAGATTCTTGTTATGCCAAAGTGGCATATTTTAGGGTGACGTATTCTGCCATCCTGCAGCAGCAATCCTCTGAGAGCAGGTTAGCCAGCCTTCTCCTTCTTCACCCTAAAGCCATGATGCTTTCCCAGGCATTCAGTATTGTTAAGTTGAGTATTATTCAATACATCATCATTTTTCCTGCTCTCAGTGGTACATTGAACTTCTGTCTTCAGAAAACAGGCAGTAATGATTCTGATGTCCTTGTTCTGAGTGGTAATTTATCACTTTAAGCTATGTAATCCCATCAGCTTGTAAGTATGGAATATATTATTTTTCACTAAGTACATCATCTTGTACATGTTCCCATTGAAGCTTATCTCTTGCTTTTTAACCTGTTAGCCTTTTGAAATTGGTATGTACTTTATTTCCTTTAGGCTCAGAGTTACTTCATTATCAAGAAAAGTTTATACTGCTGTAAATTCGGAAATTATACTTCTTCTAGATCATTTTAAAAATGCTAAATAAGGTCATTCTCACGACTTATCACAAGGATATCTGTATATTCTTGCAGTTTACCTTAATGTAGTATTTGCACTTGAAGTCTCTTCAAAGCCGTCTAAAGAAATAGTCAGATATGTGTACATCTTTGTCCTGGAATCACAGCATTATTTATATTAGTGATCATTTAGAAACAAGCCCAACATCCAACAATAGGGTACTACTTAAACAAATTATGGCGTTTCCACATTACATAACAGTCATGAAGCTGGAGAGAAAGTTTAAGTAAAGTTAATGGAATAGGGAGATATTCACTGCTTCATTAAAATAAATGTACAGATTATAGTTTGTGTAAGCAGCAGGATTACAGGATTTTTAAATGACTTTTTGTAGGCAGAGGAATTAAAGGGGATGAATTTTATAAAAATAATGATGATAGTTAATAATTGATGTGGTGAGATTATGGGTGACTTAGGTTCTTTTTACTTCCCATATTGTCAACATAGATTACTGTTGCCATCAAGAGTAAATAAATAAATAAATAAATAAATAAATAAATAAATAAATAAATGGTGGCCCATAAACTGACATTTTATTCCTGTATTTTTTCCCTGAAATTAAGGAGTCTGGTGCAAAACTTCGCCAAATGCAGCCATATTCAATGAACCCACTGATTAAACACACAGCCAGAATTCTTTCAGAATGTCCTGGCATTTCACTTGAGAACATTTCAAAGCAATTGAACAAAAGCAAAGAGTGTACCAGGAAGGTTACAGTAGGACTGAAGGGAAGAACTAGAACTGGAAAAGTCAGAGGGAGGAGTGGAGAAAGAGGATAAGAATCAGGGGTGATCAGGGAGTGGAGAAGGGCATAGCCCCAGGGCCTGGCCGTCCTGCAAGGACCAAAGGAAAGAATCTCACCTTAGAAAACTGTTCAGATTCTTTGAAAATATTCTGACCTTAATTTTTCATGATACCTTATAAGTAAAATGCAATGAGAGCCTACTGTTTTTTTTTTTTTTTAACTGGGTACTTTATGGAGGACCAATGTTTTAAATAGACATAAAAGCATAAAACATGATTTAAGAATTTGCATTGGCAATGCAGTAGGTGGATTCTGAAAGAAAGGTTACATAGTTGGTTGTATACCAAAATGACTTCCAGCTATAAAAGGGAAGAAATAAGAACCACAGTTCCTAAAATGAGAGAAAATCTCCATGATTTTGGCAAAGGGGGAGCAAGCTTGGAAAATATTTTGTCTTTTTTAATAGCCTGAAGAGTGATCATTTCTATGTGAACATGCCTATGCAAGGCCCACGAAACAAAAACTGTTCCTCGTACGTTTGACTCAAATTCCATCTTGTTCTGCCTTGTTTTTGAAGTCCTCACGTTTTGTCGATCTTGCTTCACTTTCTGTGGAAAAATAATATGCTATTCATGGTTGTATGTTTACAATGTAGAAAACCTCATTTATTTTTCAGTTCATAGGGCTTCTGGATTTGTAATTAGTTGCTGGGAAGTAAATAATGGTATGTTTTATTTTGAATTTAGCATTATACAAAATGGCAACAGGAGATATGTCTTACTGTAGAGTGTCTGTTCATGAGAGTTCTTTATCATCACGCTAAAGCACGTCTGCTGACCATTTAAAGGAATAACAAAATACTATTAATGACTAATCTCGTCCCCCGACCCTCCCCAGATATACACAGTTACCAAAGAAAAGGCGCTCGACAGTACTGGGGAAATTATTTCTGTTAGAATGGTAGGCCCTTTAGAAATTTTACCATGATTTTTTGTTTTAAAAGTATCTGTACATTTATAAGAACAAAACTGATTTTGAGAGGCACCCTCCTCTATCACTAGTATATAATTCAGGAATAAAAAGAAGGCCAAATTATAAACTATGGAGTTTATATTATCTGCAGTCATATCAAATAATATGACCAAATAAAATAACTTGTGAATTTCCTAAACATAATTAATCACATTGATTAATGACCTGAATTAACTGCTTGAATTTAGTCAAATTTGTTGAAGCAAGTAGTCCCAAGCTATGTTTTGAGTTTAGATTCTGTTTTTTTCATTATAAAGTGAAGACGTTTTCCATATTGGAAAAGTGAAAACTGTGGATTGTTTGCAAACTAGCCAACAAAGTACGCTAGTCAGTTTATCTTGGCAAATTCACATTTAATGTCATCCGTTGCCAGAAATCTGTTCCGTAATGATGTCATCAACAGTTTGGGATGAGAAAAGGCTAAGAGAAAAAGCTGAAAGAATGTAGACGAGAAAGTAATCCCTACGTGTTCTACTGACCATATGTCCCCCCAGCAATTTTACTTATTGGGCTATCAAACTAAAATCCTCATTTCAATCCGGTAGTCCTTGAAGTCCTTAAGTTCTTTTCTGTTTTCCCCCATAATTTCATAATGATAATTATTTTTGTCAAGCTGTTTCATTAAAACATTAATTAGTTCCTATAACTTGTGAGAAAGGTGTTGTTATTATAATTTTAGATAGAAGCACAAGTTTAACTGCATCCTTGGCATCCTGTATCATGATGTCTGTGGTGGAATGAAGAAATAATTAGATTTTTTGGTTCCGTGTTATCATGACATGAAAAAAAAAAAACAAAAAAAACAAACTTGTGCTTGAAAAGCAAAGTAGAAGTGAAACCTTCCTTGACTTTGTAATGGCATTTATGCTGAAACACAGAACTAATGCCATGTCAACATAAGTGTATGTGACATTCCCATTAAAAAGTATTCAATTGCTCTAGAGACCCAGGGACTCCGTGATATTAATGGAGACATCAAGATATGGTCTTTGAATTTCTTTGACTAGCCATCTAAAGGTGATAGGCTGAACTGTCTTTAAATACCATGTGTGAGAGCTTAAAATCTGGGTTAATTATATATACAAATATATGCAAATTTAAATTGTATGTGTCCTACAAGTATTCTAAGACTGAAAATATTCTTGTTTGAATAAATGTGGTTATAAAATGCATTTTATAATATGGATGTTTCTCTTTTTTCCAGCTAATTTTTTAAAATTTGACGTTTCTTGAATGAATACTTATTATATACCTTCTATGTGCCAGATGGGCTAGTCTTGGATATGTCTTCACTGAGGTTATTGCTTATAAGGGAGAAAAGATATGTGCTGAAATGTCTATGGCACAAGGTGGAAAGTGAGAAATATAAAAAATGTATTTACAGGAGTTCTGGGGAGGAACATAAGACTGAACCGGGGGAGATTTTTGTAGGGAACTCATGAGAACTAAGGGATAGCCTCGATGCTGAGGCCTGCAGAGACCAGACATGACTTAGGACGTGGATGAGGCTCACATACTTCTGAGGCCTGGGTCATCCCTTTGTGCTCATGGGATCCTGCCCATCATGGTCACTAAATTCCTTTCAATCCGTGATTCTTCCATAACTGTCACGTCAAATCACTTACTTCAAATGACAAATCTTTCACTTATTGCAACTGCAGCTTATTCACCATTTCAGTTCGCTCACTGCTTTCTCTATTCTTGCTCACATTTCTGTTTCTACTCCCAGGACCCATAGCCTGGCTCTCTCTGTCTTTTTCTGTTCAAAGTCCTGAGAGACCATGTCATGAGTGAACTGGCTACCACCAGTCTTCTTGAATCCGACACCCTTCCCTGGTGTAGTCACCTCTAACCAGGGGTATGAAAGCAAATATCTTGCTGCCTAAACACGGGAGTGTTTGCCTTGGAATGGGCTGTAAGGACTCCTTTCCAAAGTGTGGCGAGTGGCACCATCCTTGAAAATGGTTCAGGGATGGCATTAGAGGAGAAAGATACATGAACTGCCCTTGTCAACACTCTTGCTGTCCAAAGCCAGCCCCTCCACCTGGGTACTGATGTCATCCCTGCCTTTCTACAAGAGCTCCTGCTAATTGGATGATTTCCCTCTCTTGAGACTATGATGGGGATTGAGCATAATTTTTAACAATCTACAGCCCCATCTGCTAAGAGGTCATGGAGAACACATGGAAATCACATATAATACAGGTGTAAGGCTTCTCGTGTATCTTGATGAAAGAAAATTACTGAAGAGAAAATAAAATTGATTTTTGAGTGTTGAATTTGCCAACCCAAAAGAATAAAGTGATGATATTATTAAATATATTCATATAGGAAATAAGGAATAATTTTACTGAAATTGTAGCATGAACTTAGACATACATCCTGGAATGGGAGATTTGTGATCATATTTGGCCTTACTTATCTAACATCTTATTATCTTTATCCTTGAGCCACTGATTCTTAATGCTGTAAACACTGACGATCTGACATTGACAGTTGTGAACTGCATAGGCAGTATTGCAGAGACTGATAAAAATGTTTGCACTATTAGAATCTGGCAAATAAGATTATTGTATTAACTTCTGAACATGGAATTTTATATCCAGTCAGAATCCCACGTATTTCAGTCCAAGCATCAGTGCTTATACTCCAGGCATTATCTTGTAGCATACACTGAGATAATATAGCTATACCCCAAAATGCAGAGTCATAGAGTCAGAAGGTACCTAAAATTAATGTAGTGACATCACCCATGTCACGCAAAACTTATTTTTTCTTCCCAAGGTCTCTTAAGCCTTTTTTGAATAAATTCATTGCCAAAAGGTGTAGTACATTAAGGCTTGGTCACTGTAAATGTCAAAGTACATTCAATAAATGATTTTTCTTTGACCCATAGCATTTTTATTTTTCATTTAAAAATTTTTGAGATAATCTTAATGGCATATAATAAATTCAACAAATGGCATGTGGCTTTTAGTAATCTCTTTCTGCATGATCAAGTAATGGTAACTTGAACTATATGGATCTGCCATTTTTATAGGTAAAAAACATCAGCCATTTCATTTGGTTCAATAAGATATATTTTAAAAATTGGCCAGGTGCAGTGGCTTACACCTGTAATCCCAGCACTTTGGGAGGCTGAGGTGGTCAGATTGCTTGAGCTCACGAGTTCGAGACAAGCCTGAGCAACATGGCAAAAACCTGTTTCTACAAAAATTTAAAAACATTAGCCTGGTCTGGTGGCTCACTCCTGTCATCCCAGCTACTCAGGAGGCTGAAGTTAGAGGATCGCTTGAGCCAAGGACATAGATGCTGCAATAAGCTGTAATCACCACTGCACTCCAGCCTGAGCGACAGAGTGAGACCCGATCTCAGCTCATGTTTTAGCTCATGTTGTGAAATAGACTCTAAATCAAACACAACGCATGGTATATTTTTTTCATTTGGATAGGTATACATAAACCATAGATTGTCTTTTCAGAAGTAATAAGTCCAGCAAAAAAATGGTGAGATCTTATTCCCTGCTGTTTATGACAATACTCAGACTCTTAGGCCAATTTAGCTTCTGTTAAGTTTTATGAAAGTTCTTTTTGGCTTTCTTCCTTGAGAACTCGAGAATTATTTTAGGATGCAGATAAAGTACCACATATGTACATAAAGTCAGCAGTCTGCTTCAGTTAAAAAATTCTGGACAGTTATGCTTATGCAGACCAGAAATCTATTATTACTGGAGGAAAAGGGAAGCAACTCCTGTCATGTGGCTAAAACACAATATTTTAAATATCCAAGGTCTTTTGTAAATTTATTTCACAGTACATTCTGTGGTTCAGAACTACATATAGTTCTGGTGAATAGACGCCCATATTTCAAGAGTTGTATAATATTCTTCAAATAAAATAATGAAGTCTTCAGGAGTAGATTTGTGATAAAGTTATTGTCTTATAGAAAGAAAATGGAAATGAAAATACTTGATACAAAATTCACATGTTTCGTGATTCTCAGGTTCAGGTTACCAAATACATGGATCCTCAAACTCTTGCTGCTACAATTCAAATAATCTACATTTTTTTTTCTTTTAGGGCAAGATCTAAGGAACCTGAATTAACATAAGATCATTTTCTAGTCCCAAACTTGTAAATATGGTTTAATTTTCCCAAGTACATTTTGATAGAGCAATGTAAGAAATATTATAGATGGATCTAAATAATTGACTTTCCAAAATTAAAGACCCTTATTCATCAAGCTTTTTGCTCTTGAAAGGAACTGGGTTTCAGACAAATCTGTTAGGCTTCTTACACAATGCTAGTCAATTAGGCAAGTGCCAAAAGGATCTCATTCTGAGATACCTCAACCTTAGAATGAGCCTTCACTGTAATCATGCTCCCCAAAGGAATGGAAAAAAAAAGTCAAAGCTGCGAACTGAAAAAAAATACTGCCTTTCTAACACACTGGGAACACAGAGATGAAAAAATATAGAAGACAGTTTCATGATAGAAATGTGTATGTTAACAGCCATAAACATAGCAAAATCCTGACCATAATAGGTAGTAGCAGAAGTCTTTGATCAAGGCCATTTTCCATGACTGTCAATAGTTACTAACTACTCAGATAAAAGGCCACATAAGCTTATTGTTTTAACATTCCTAGTCAATTCAGTAATCAGTTAGCGTTAATAGGTATCTCAAGTATTTTAAGTTCAGTCCAAATAATTGACTATATAAAAGATGCACAAGTGCACCTTTGGATGATTACATTCTGTTCTCAGACCTGTCATCGTTTTCCTCAAAATCACATTTTTTTTTTAACCTGCTTCTGTGTAATTTGATGATACACTGTCAGCACTATTAATTGTGGGTTAGCAGATGTTCCTGCTTTAAAACTTCCTTGAAAAATGTGCATTCATGAACAAGCATTAAGTATATGTGAAAAACCAAAGAAGCCCACAAGTATTAGAACTTTCTTCAGTCTGTACATCTAAATATGCAAGTGCAAACACAAGAGGCATCACCCACCTCCCACCTTTTAATGAACTCTGCATATTTTTGTTTGGATAAATAAAGCAGCAGGACATTCAGATGAAATACTTTAAAAATGCAGAAGATTATTAAAATTGTTATTAAAAACAAAATAGAAAAACCACCTGAAGTTTTTCCAAAATACGGTTGGAATCTACCTATTTTTTTTTTTCATTTTTCATTTCGTTACTTTAGGAAATAAATGCCAACTAGATTCTAAAAAATTTGCTTTGTACAACTTTTCTCTTTTTTTCTTTAAGCAAAAGCAGAATTAACTGAAAAGAAAAGAAGCTGTTTGAAGAAACAGCTGAGCCTCAGGAAGGTCAGTGGTGTAGGCAGGCCTTGGAAGCAACCACAACCAGCGACTTACATGTCACCTTTCTCCTTTGCTACAAACTAGTTTTCTTCATAAGGTGTAAATCCTGCCTGCAAATACCTCCTGACTTAGATTGTGCAGGTTTAGCCACCAGAGAGAGGCAAATGACTCTTTCAGAACCTAATTCAGAATTTTTCTTAACATAATCCATACAACTACCGACGCAGTCAGCTCCTTCCCAAAGGGACACAATGCAGACCAGACACTGCACCTGGAGGTGAGGAGGAAGCCTGGGTCTCCAGGCTTTCTGGGTGGTATCCTTGCTTCACCAGCTCAGGCAAGGTATGTTGCTCCACAAGCCTGCAAACTAAGGCCTAAAAACTAAATCAATGGTTCTCAAACCTGGCTGCACATTAGAATCACCTGGGGAGCCGTTAACAAACACCGACGTCCATATTCCACTCCAGACCAATTAAATCAGAATCCCTGGGCATAGGGCCTGTACATCGGTATCCATTAAATGCTCCCAGGTGATTCCACTGTGCAGCCAGGGCTGAGAACCACTGGGCTAAATGATAAATTTAAACTTAATGGAGGAAAAACAAGATAACCACCATAACCACCATTAAAACTGCAGTTTAAGAAAAGTAAAACCATATAGAAGTCCTAATTGATCTCAGGCATTTTAAATCAGTTAAAGTTGACTTTTTCCAATAACTTGTTCACAAGAAACAAATTAAAAATACATTTTGCCTCTTCCTGTTTGTCTAAAGATTTTATAGAACTATCTTCATATATTTTCCAGTCTTGGATCTAATCCATGCATATTGATTAGCGGTGAATTTATTTTTATAATATTAATTTGGTGGATCTTTTTTCCAATGTCATGTTAATGCATAGAACTCAAATATTATCTCACTCTAGTCTCCACAACAGACTCACCTTATGTCTTTCCCCATTACCTCTACTCTGCCCCCTGCCCTGTCAACATGCACCCATAATTATATGTGCATTAACTGAACTCAGATAACAAGAGCATTCCACCAAATTCAGCCAGTTTATTAGGGCATATTAGGTTTCAAGTTATGCTTATTAACACCCTTGTTAGGAATTGCATTTTTGCCCAGTGGAGGTAGAAACAGTGGCTTTTGAGTTTTCAACTCTGTCCCCTTCTATCCTGCAATATGCAGTCAAGACATACCTTTAATTGTCTCCATCCATTTCTATAGGAGAAACTGGGTTTAAACTTCCAGGAGTGATTTGTCATTCCCTCCACCCCCATCCTCATTTCAAGCACTAACATGGTCTTTTCCATATGACATGCTGTGTTTCTGAGTTTGATAGGTAGGCAATAAATAAATGTTTAACAAAATGGATATTTTTGTTTCAGGGGTTATTTGGTGAGACTTTGAATGTTACATTTTGTCTATGTGTTAGAACAGTTCATTTGACTTTCGGTATAAAAATACATCTGCCAAAGACAGTGATTTTACTTGGAGCAGTTAAGCTACTTAAATTTGGGTCAGGATAGCCTACTTTTAAAAGCATAACATTTATGTCTCTTTCTATGCAACTTATAATATTCAGATACTTAGGGAGAAACACCTGAATACTGATTCAGGAAGACACATGTATACTACATATTGTATTTAGGCACCTGGTACATTTACACATAAAGCAGTGGCTTTTAGAGAGAGAACCAGACACTTTGTTTAGGCAGCTGTCAGAATATGATGAATGCTGTCAGTGGTTTGCGCACCTCAGTTTCTCTCCCTTGGGCACCACTGGCTTCCCTGAAAGTATCCTATAGTTATCAATATCATATGCAAGTTTCTCTCTTGTATGTCTATGGAATCCTAGAATGTATTAGAGGTTGTATTAGGCTTCTGGAAGAAATCTTGTAAATCAAAAGAAATCACATGTTAAATTATATTCTTCCTTAAATAAGGATATGCATATGTCATGACTAAGAGCAAGTGACACCAGAAAGATAATTGAACTCTAAAAAACGTTAAGTATGTAAATGAATCTCGGCTTTTGGCAGTCCACCATGCCATTTTCACAAGCATGCTTTCACCTTCTTCATAACATAAGCATTGTGTCAAACACTTTATTTGAATTTAAATTTTAAATTTAATGTCGTCAATAATCCTATGAAGTATATGGCCGTGTGTGTGTGTGTGTGTGTGTGTGTGTGTGTGTGTGTACATATATATATGATTTTAAACTTAAAAAAAATATATATTTTTCTGATAAGAAATAGACTCAGGGAGATTAAGGAAGTTAAAGTTTACTGTCAATTTTGAGTAGATTTAATCTCAAAGCTCCAAGTTAAATTCTTTTCAGGCTTAGGAAATCCAGACTCCTTTAGGAACCATCAGAGTATCAGAAATTGTCAAGTAATAAAAATAGTTTTAGTTACTTATAATTTTACCTCAAAGAAATTCATAAAAATAAGGCATTTTAAATTTGGATAGGCCATTGTGAGACAGTTCTCTAGTCATGCAACATCACACTTTTATCCGCCTAGAGAAGCGGAAATCTGTTTTACTCTGTCACTCATTCCAATGTTTTATCACTTTCACAGCCAGGAAATGGTGCATTACCATTGCAAAACTTGAATTTCACATGTTGTTTTAGCTCATATATTCATTTTGTATGTTGAGAAGAAATAACGGTTAGTTGGGACCATTCTTTTCTGTTTATTTGTAGACCCTCCTTCTAATGCTGAATGATCTTTTAACTTGGCACTGATGCACCATCATTTTTCTTTTCCTTATAGTTCTCTGATGTTCTGATCCACCAAGTGATTAGTTTTTGCACTTTAAGTAATTATTATTATTATTACTATTTATTTATTTTTTGAAACAGAATCTCACTCTGTCGCCCAGGCTGGAGTGCAGTGGCGCCATCTTGGCTCACTATTATTACTATTTTTGAGACAGAATCTCACTCTGTTGCCCAGGCTGGAGTGCAGTGGCGTGATCTCAGCTCACTGCAACCTCTGCCTCCTGGGTTCAAGCGGTTCTCCTGCCTTAGCCTCCAGAGTAACTGGGATTACAGGTGCTTGCCACCACACCCAGCTAATTTTTGTATTTTTAGTAGAGATGGGGTTTCACCATGTTGGCCAGGCTGGTCTTGAACTCCTGACCTCAGGTGATCCACCCGCCTCAGCCTCTCAAAGTGCTGGGATTACAAATGTGATTAAGTAATTATTTTTATAGAAATAGAAGAAAGTCTATGATTTCTGTAGTTAGAACACATCAAATTTCAACGTGGCAAATTAAGTACCAGGCTAGGTAACTACATGTTGCTTTCCCCAATAGAACCCCATCTATAAATAAATATCCTTTTATTTTCCAGTGGAGCCTAGAATATTTTCTTAAAAGCAAACTTCCAATATGAATCCAAAGACATCAACATAACCAGATTTTTTTTTTTTTTTTTGAGATGGAGTCTCGCTTTGTGGCCCAGGCTGGAGTGCAGTGGCGCGATCTAGGCTCACTGCAAGCTCCGCCTCCCGGGTTCACGCCATTCTCCTGCCTCAGCCTCCAGAGTAGCTGGGACTACAGGCGCCCACTACCATGCCCGGCTAATTTTTTTTTTTTTTTTTTTTGTATTTTTAGTAGAGATGGGGTTTTACTGTGTTAGCCAGGATGTCTCGATCTCCTCGCCTCGTGATCCACCCGCCTCGGCCTCCTAAAGTGCTGGGATTACAAGCGTGAGCCACCGCGCCCGGCCCATAACCAGATATTTTATCAGTCATTGTGACTTAGAAATCTCATGCATCTGTGGCTGAATATTTGACAACAGTTTTCTTTTTTTCCCCAGATATATGAACACAAATGCTTTCATTGCCACATATACCCTTGGCCACAGTTAGATGATTGAATTATAACTGAGTCATGCCTGTGCTGAGTTTTAGCAGAGTATTCCTGCAGGATCCAACAAGGATAAAAATTGATGTCCCTCTTGAAACAGAGTGGTACAGATGGTGCAGCTTTATAGCTGTCTCCAAATACCAAATGCCAAACTGCTCCTTTGATAAGGCAAGGCGGTGTAAAGGTTTAAATATAGCCTCTTGGTGGAATGTCAGTGAATGATGGATCCCAGTTACAAACACACCAAAATATTCTCTGTTTAAACATTTTTTACAACCATGGTTGTGAAGATTCTATATCAAGGAAATTATGCATGGGGGAAAGAACAGGAAACTTACCCTGAAAAATCTATGTGTATACTAACAAATCAGTTAAATTTGGAGGAGGGGAGTGTGGAAAAGTACAATGGCAACTAGTAAAGTCAATTTTTCTGCTAACACCTGCCACAAGTAGAATCTAAAAATGTTACGTTAAATTCACAAGACTTACATATAACAACAATGAAATAGGGAACTTGGCTTTCCTAAATTAGCTTGGTTATCGTTTTACAGCACAGTTTTCACCAAAATGTCAAATGATGGTCTTGTAGTAGGAGAATGGCATACATATATAGAATGGTTAACTTGATCATTTTATATGTATGCGTATATGAATTTATTCTTTTGATAAAATATATTTTTAAAGTATTGCTAATATTCATATCCATCTTCATAATTTGTACTAGGGAGATGAACAGCAAGAAGTAAAATTTTAAAGTACCTGAGACCTTGTCAATTTTTTGTTAAAACTGGTTAAAGAGCCATAAGGAAAACTGGAATTATAGCAAACAGTAGGTTCATGTTTTAGAACCTTTAAAAATTAGCTAGTGAATTAGTTAAAATTATTTCAGCTAATTTTGAAATAATTGTGAAGATATACAAAAAGAAACATATTGGATAATGTAAACGGTGTCAGCAAGTAAATCAAGACAAGAAAGTCATCAAATAATTTTGAAAGATGTTTGCAGTTATTGATTTTATAGTGAAAATAAATGATTACCAAACTAAAATGTTACCCCTAAAGTAGGTTTATAAGTATACCAATGAGAACAATGTTAAGAAAGCAGCATTTATTTCATCATTACTATAATGCTATCTCTCCTATACCTGGACCATTGTAACACTGAGCACATCAGAATGTCCCACAGAAAGATAATGTTATATTTCTACATATGGTTTGTACTTTATTTAGACTGTTGTATTTTCTGTAAATGTACTTACCTCTTAGAGGCACGGTAGCCTGACTATCCAGTTTTCACTCATTTCTGCTTTACAAATCACATTGACTTACTGATTTCAGAGGATATGGCTATCAATCTGAACTAGGGAGAATATATCTAATATTTGCAGCAAACTCAACCAAATAAGCTCCTAGTGAGATGGGTTTTAAAAAATCATTTTTTGTGATTTAATTTACATTTCTAAAAGTTTCTGAATACAAAATCAATGTGCAAAAATCACTAGCATTTCTATACACCAATAACATCCAAGCTGAGTACCAAATCAAGGATGCAATCTGATTCACAATAGCCACCAAAAGAATAAAATACTTAGGAATACAACTAAGTAAGGAGATGAATGATTCTCTACAATGAGAATTACAAAACTTTTGCTGAAAAAAATTAGAGATGACATAAATGGTAAAACATTCCATGCACAAGGATAGGAAGAATCAATATGGTTAAAATGTCTATACTGCCCAAAGCAATGTACAGATTCAATGTTATTCTGATCAAACTACCAAAACATTTTTCATGGAATTAGAAAAAACTATTCTAAAATTCATACAGAATCAGAAAAGAGCCCAAATAGCCAAAGCAATCCCAAGCAAAAGGAACAAAGTTTGAGACATGCATTACCCAACTTCAAACTATACTACAAGGTGATAGTAACCAAAACAGCATGGTACTGGTTCAAAAAATAAACATATAGACCAATGGAATGGGTTAGAGAACCCAGAAATAAAACTGCACACCTATGAGCATCTGTTCTTCAACAAAGTTAACAAAACCAAGCAATGGGGAAAGGACTTTCTATTCAATAAATAATGCTGAGATAACCAGCTAGCCATATGCAGAAGATTGAAACTGGACCCCTTCCTTTCACCATATACAAAAATTAACTCAAGATGGATTAAATACTTAAATCTAAAGCCTAAAACTATAAAAACCCTAGAAGAAAACCTAGAAAACATCATTCTGGACATAGATCCTGGCAAAGATTTCATGCCAAAGATGGCAAAAGCAATGGCAACAAAAACAAAATTTGACAAGTGGGATCTAATTAAACTATAGAGCTTCTGCACAGCAAAATAAGCTATCAACAGAGTAAACAGACATCCTACAGAATAGAAGAAAATATTTGCACACAATGCACAAAACAAAGGTCTAATATCCAGAATATATAAGGAACATAAACAAATCAACAACAAAAAACCAAACAACCCCATTAAAAAAATGGGCAAAGAACATGAACAGATGCTTCTCAAAAGAAGACATACACACAACCAACAAGCATTTGAAAAAATGCTCAGCATAACTAATCATTAGAGAAATGCAAATCAAAACCATAAGGAAATCCCATCTTACACTTGTCAGAATGGCTATTTAAAATAAAAAAATAACAGATGTTGGTGAGGTTGCAGAGAAAAAGGAATGCTTAGACATTGCTGGTGGAAATGTAAATTAGTTCAGCCACTGCAGAAAGCAGTAAACCTGCACATGTACACCCTGAACCTAAAATAAATGTTGGCAAGAAAAAATACATTTTAAGTGTAACATTTGATGAGTTTTGATAAATATAATCACTTTTACATTATCCAATCAAGATTTAGAATATTTCCATCACCCCTTAAAATTCCTTTGTGCCACATTTTCAATCATTTCTCTCTGCTTCCACTTCAGAAAAGCACTGATCTATTTCTCTTACAATTCATTGTTTTTGCCTATTCATATAACTGATACTTTGGATTCTTTTATTTAGCAAAATATTTTAAAATATATCTGCATTGCTGTATATGACATTATTTTGTTGTTTTAGGAAATTATTCTATTGTATTAATATAGTAGGTTTATCAACTCATATTAATTTTTGATAAAATAGTAAGCATGTTTATGGGAAATTTTCAAACTGTTTTCCAAAAGTCTTACCATCTTACAATTTTACCAGAAATTTGTATTTCCAGCTTTCCAGTGTTTGGTCATGTCACTCTTTTGTCAAATCTTGTTTCTACAAGTACTGAAAAAAATCTTATTTTTTTTATTTTTTACCCTGTTAATGTAATAGTTTACATTGATTGATTTCAAATATTGAAGCACTTTTGCCTTTCTTAGATAAGCTCTACCTTACAATGTATTATCATATTGGTATATTGTCAGTATTTAGTTATTACTAATATTAAATATTATAGCATATTATAAAACATACTTAATATTAAAAACATTAATTTTGCTAATATTTTGTGAGGATTTTGGTATCTGTGTTCATGAAGGATGTAGGTCAGCAATTTCCTTCTTTTATGATATGATTGTCAGATTTCAGTATCAGCATTATACGAGACTCATAAAATGAGTTAAAAATTTTTCCTACTTTGTTTTCAGAAAGATATATGTGATGTCACCATTAATGGTTCATTAAATATTTGGTAAATTTCATCAGTAAAAGCATAGAGAATTTTCTTAATGGAAAGGTTTATTATTAACTACTGATCCATTTTCTTTGATGGGCATAGGCTTTTCAGATTTTCTGTCTTCTTCAGTTTTGGTAAGTTATATTCTTCAAGGAGTTTGTTTATTTTGTAATTTGTCATATTCGTTAGTATAAAATTAATCATGATAGCCCATTATTTATTTTTCTTTTAATATCTGTAGGGTCTGTAATAGTGTCCTCCTTTGGTCTTCTCTTTTTGTGGATTAGTTCCCTAAGGGTATGTTATTTCTAATGTATGACCATGTAAAGATGGTCTAAAGATACCAGCAATTAAATGGCTTTTACTTCCTGTGTTTCTCTCCATCGTACTATTCTTTTACTATTTTGCTTAGAGGGACAAACTCTTCTCAATCTGTATGAGAATTCTATCACTAACAGTTTTAGTACCAAAAGTCATGAGTCCCAGGAATTTAGTTACTTAATTAGAGTAAACCAGGAGTATTTGGCATCCTAATTATATATGACCTGAACTGAATCATTTGGTAATCAAATTATTGTCCTACAATTCCCTTAATGGGATATTTTTCTTAAAAAAGCAGCAATGCAGATCAATCAACATAGCTGTATACATCTAGCTTTTATAATGCTATCAATCCTCTCGCTTCTACTGGGGATTCATTACATATAATATCTTCTTTAATTCTCACATGAACCTATTCTCATGTTATCAATAGTTAATTGAGGCACAGAGATATTAAGTAATTTGACCATGGTCTCTAACCTGTGTATTAACAAAGTGATAATTTTATTTAGGTAATCTAACTTCATTACCTGTGACTCTGTCTATTCTCTCAGTAAGCATCTTAAAGTAAACGTATTTTATGTTTAAACCTCAAAGCAATTTTGACAGTAAAAAAGGAAATATATATATGTGTGTGTATATATATGTATATTTAACAATGTAGATTAACATTGACAATGTGAGATTGTTTTGGAGTAGAGGCAGAGAGTTATCCTTTCATTGTATGTTAGAAACTTAAAACTGTTCTCTTTTTATTGCTATAATCAGCATGGCATTTCTTTTGTAACTGAAAGAACAGAAATTTGAAAAAAATAATTTTCTCTCTTTAATATATTGTGTCTATTTTTTATTATGCTAAATAAAGTCTCCTAATCTGGAAAAAAAACTATGCCATTTAACATTTTCAAAAGCACGCAGTTAAAAATTCTCATTTCCAAGACAATTTAGGAAGTAAAATAGAGCTTTTGAATTACTTATGAACCAATTTTCCTGGCTATCAATGTTATTTTTCAATTCCTGATTTTTCTTCCATGTACATGTTTTAAGGGCCTGTTGAGGTAGGTATGGAAAAAAATTTTAGCTTCTCGCAGAAGGTCAGTAAATTATGGATTAACATGTTTATGGTACTTCTTGTTGAGTTGCAGTGATTAAAGTGTTAAATTCTTTATTGTCCCTTCTGAATGTAGTAAAACCTGACATAAAAACACTTGCAGAAAATTAAGATTTAGTTAAGCTTAGTTTTTTAAAAAAATCATGGACCTATGATTCTGGAAGGATATATAAATTCAAGCTTTGTCCTTGAGAGTCAATCTGTTTGTCCAATCTGTTCACATTTTGTAGTCTTTGCATACAATTTACATTTTAGAATTCACCTCTGGGAAACTCTTCTGTTCTTCTTTAGAGTTGTCTCTAGATTTGGGCTGAGGGTGAGAGATGCTAAGGAATAATATATATCTAACCATTATTGCACAGCTCCTTTGAACTCATTAAAGAGGATCTTCCAGGAGATTGCCTTAATTTACACTGGATCTTTAGAAGGGACTTGACAGGTGCTGCTTCTATTTATTTTTCCTTCAAAATGATGCAATAGCAGCAGGCTGTTAGGCTCTTTGACATAGCTCATGACCCATCTGAGATGAGTGGAAATGAAAAGCACCTTCTCTCCTATGGGAGCAAGGGTTGGGTTCAATGGAGGAAATATAGAGCACAGTCTCTGCAGTGAGCAGACTATCATTGGATCCTGATTTGCAGCAAGGTAGCTGAAAAGATTTACTGCACTTCTTGGAGACTTAGTAAACTCATCTGTAGTACATGCAAGGAGACAAGAATGTACACATGAGAGAATGGTGGTCAAAGATGATACAAGCTTAATAGTGACAAGTGTTCTGCTATGGTAATGTGCTGTATTACCTTTCTTTTTTCCTTTTCTTTTTTATTTATTAGGAGTATTATTTTTTGAGAGAGCCTCACTCTGTCACCCAGGCTGGAGTGCAGTGAAGCAATCTTGGCTCGCTGCAACCTCCGCCTCCTGGTTTCAAGCGATTCTCCTGCCTTAGCCTTCCAAGTAGCTGAGAATACAGGCACCCACCACCATGCCCGGCTAATTTTTGTATTTTTAGTACAGACAGGTATTCACCATTTTGGCCAGGCTGGTCTTGAATCCCTGACCTCAAGTGATCCACCTCCCAAAGTGCTGGGATTGTGCTCGTGAGCCACCGTGCTCTGCCTGTATTACCTTTCTTTTTATCAACTCTCTTTGAAACTGAGGAATATGGGACACACAAAGATCTCATAACTTACAGAAAGGAAGCAAGACCTTGGTATTGCTACAAGGCTCCAGGGAAGGCTGAGTGATAGGGTAATTTTTCTCAACTACCCAGAGAGAAATGGGCTAAATGTCAATGCTATCTCCGAAGGAATGGTGCCAAACTGTGCTTTGTAGTAATCAAATTTTGTGAGTGGCATAAGAATATTCTAGTCAAGGATTTATGAGGCAGGGGTTGCCAATCTTTACTACAGATTAATCACTTTATACAGGCATATAAGAGAATAGTATGTCTTCTAATGAAGACAATTAAAATAGGCTTTCATGGAGGAAGAAAATGAGGGGCACTATATGTTTCAGATAACTCCAGAGTTCTTTTGTGCCTGGGCCAGCTATTTTTCAATGAGAGTAGCCATGACTAGTTACTAAGCTTAAACTTTGCTTTGCCCTAAAAACTGTGTGGGATACTGCCGGTCCCCAAAACTGTTCAGAAAGACAACCTTGTATATTCTCCCTACTAGCATGAAATCATCCCCTATGTGAGTTAGAAGTCATCCATCTAATTCTGTTTCTGCTTTTTGGCCCCAGGCTTGTGCTCTCCAAGGCTTGTGAATTTCATATATGTTTCTCTTCCTTCCTGCATCTTGAGTTTTCTGTTATTCATAAATACATAAGGCATTTGATGTTATTTCTTGTAGTAAGTCACTCGGGCTAATGTGTTATCACTGAAAACTAACAGTACCTATGGTGGAAGGTAGGGAGCGGGGAGGAAAAAGGAAAGAGCTATCAAAATACTTCTACATTTAGGCTGGGGGTGGTGGCTCACGCCTGTAATCCCAGCATTTTGGGAGGCCGAGGTGGGCAGATCACCTGAGGTCAGGAGTTTGAGACCAGCCTGGCCAACATGGTGAAACCCTGTCTCTACTAAAAAATACAAAAAGTAGCTGGGTGTGGTGGCAGGTGCCTTAATCCCAGCTACTTGGGAGGCAGAGGCAGGAGAATCGTTTGAACCCGGGAGGCGGAGGTTGCAGTGAGCCAAGATTGAGCCATTGCACTCAAGCCTGGGGTACAAGAGCGAGACGTCTTTCAAAAAAAGCCAAACGAACAAACAAACAAAAAAAAAACTTCTACATTTCAAGTTAAACTTTAAATTGAAATGCTAGTTTGGGTATATTTTCCACCAAGCATGTGTCTCCAAGCAGCAATTCCCTATTTGCTTATGTCTTGTAATATCTTGAACTTGATATTCTTCTAGGAATAATTCCTAATGGGACACCAGGATAATCAATGAAATAGAAAAAAAATTGAAATTTAAAACAACAACAAAAAACAAAACACCTAGGCATGTGCCCTGATTACTCAATAGAGTTAATCAGAATTCTGGTGAAGTCAGGTGAGCATATCATTATTTTTATTGCTAACCAGGTGATTCTAATATACAGCCAGGATTGCGAATCACTGTGATAGAAAAATGACATTTGGTGGGATCTATTCATTCACCTAGGCATTAACAAATGTTTACTTTGAAAATACCCTGTGCCAGTGACTGGTTGCAAAAAAAAAAAAAAAAAAAATCTCAATTTTTAAGGAGTTCAGAGACTGACAGTACAGAACAGAAAGCTAGACATAAAAAGCCTCCTATGACTTATTATAATTTTTTTTCCTGATAAGTTTTATAAAGTAATACAGGTAATTTTCACATGGAACTGTTCAACTCACTGGACCTTATCATATAATTGTTTTGAATTGGAATCACATATAGCCCATAGCATGGCACCTTGGGCAGAAGATGCATTTACAACTATGTGTCAAGTTGATGTTCATATATGAAGTGACTTTTCTCCCATAATAAATTCCTTTTTAAATAAAATCTAGCAGATGCTGAGACAGATTATTAAAGGTCTGTTAAGCTTATGTACTTAATTTTTGTGTTTACAGTCTTATTATATCCCCTTTCTGTCTGAGTAGATATATCTGCCTCTAAGACAGATCCGTCTCTGAATAATAATGGATTTTAAAGTTAATCTAATCATATTATGTTTGAGATTTAAATGCAATAATAGCAGTTGCTTTTGTTAATGTAAAATTGTATTGTACCTTCTTTTGAAGTGATGAAAACAGAAATAGTAACTTCAGGGTCAGGAAACGTAATCTAGACAATCTTCCACAGCTTTCTTGTCTACACAACAAGAAGTTTGTTTAAAATGGGACAAGTCACTTCATCTTTCTATTAAATAGAATCATCCACTAATAGCAAGGACTGTGCTAGATGTATAGGTAAAAATGCATAAAATGAAGTGATTTTACCTGCAAAAGAAGTAGCTGAACCAGTTAGGCTATAAGTTCCTTACCAAAACCAAATTTTATTATTCTAAAATTCTAGAGCTAGAGGAGGCAAGAGCATGGAAGTCCTCAAAGCAGGATTTTGGTCTTTTTCCAGATCTGTGACTTGAGTAACACTCTCAGCATTAGTCGTTGTTCTGTATAATGTTAGAATAATACTGACAGTGTTATTTTATATGGTTCTGAAGATTGCTCAAAATGTTTGTAACACTTTTAGGAAATAAAATTTACTTGGTAAACAATAAAAAATGATAAGGATATAACTATATAATTTATTCTAAATTAAATTTATTCTAAGTACTTTGAAATAATTTAATAAGGTAGGGAGCAATTCTCAAACTCCATATATAGTAATCACCTGCTGTGATTATTCAGCCATGTAAACTGCATTTTTAATTTTCAAGATCATGCTTTTAAAAAGCCCGTTAGCTGCAGATAAACAAAAAAATGCATGGGATTCAGTGAACTTTTTCGTTTTTATTTTTTAACTTAAGAAAAGCACATATACAGGTATTTGTCACTAGGTAGACTATTATTTTTGGAAATCAGAGCATTTCCCTTGTTAAGGGAAACTGATTTGGCAAATGTAGATGGATGGCTTTTTAGAAAAACATACCATTTGATAGAAACAAATAAGTGAAACACCCATGATGTTTCCAGTGTCATTACTATTACACATGTTTCTATCATTATTGCCATCTTCAGGAAGCATACTCTGCACACAAGCCAATTTTGTTTGTTTGTTTGTTTTGAGACAGAGTCTCACTCTGTCGCCCAGGCTGGAGTGCAGTCATGTGATCTCGGCTCACTGCAACCTGCACCTCCCGGGTTCAAGCAATTCTCCTGCCTCAGCCTCCTGAGTAGCTGGGATTACAGGCATGCGCCACCACGCCTGGCACACAAGCCACTTTCTAAACATTTTTCTTTTTACTTGGATTAGAGAATGCCAAGTATTCTGAATTAAAAATTTCTGTTAGAGAACATCTTCTTAAATTGACAGACATTAAAGTAAACATAATAATAATTCACATTTTCAACTGTCATATCAGCAACAATTTAAACAGTTGTTATTCTCAGTGTTGAAAAAATGTGAAGAAACCTCATATACTTCTCTTCAAAGTGAATGTAGCTTCATTATTTTCAGAGGCCCAATCAGCTATCAGGGTAGAGCACCCACACTTGTCTTCACACACTACTGTTTGGCCCAGAAATTCTACTTTAGGAATTTATCCTAGGCATACACGCCCATGAATCTGCAACCTTTAAGTATAAGAATGTTTACTGCATTGTTATTTGTGATAGCAAAAACCTGAAAACACCCAATTACCAATGGCAAAAATAGTAAATAAGTAATGGTATATCCATAATGATATGCAGCCATGCAGCCATGCAAAATAATTGAACTGATTTGAAATGAAGTTCAAGATATATTGATAAATGTAAAAATCAATTTGCAGCACTCTATGTAAAGTACTATCTCATTTGTGTTTTTAAGTGTGTGGAGGTTTTCTACATATATTAATATAGGTCTATAGATAACTATGCAGGGATACGCTTATGTACCTAGACATTTCTGGAAGGATTTGAAAAAGACTGTGTGTGTGTATGTGTGTGTGCATAAACATATGTTTAGTGAAGGACTTTCTGCATTTCTTAGTGTTTATATTGTAAGTTTTATAATAATGAAAAGAGACAGAAAGAGTTAAGATAGAATATAGCATGCTAATAAAGAAATATTGTCTTATAGTAAAGGATAGCATTTAATGAAAGCTGTTGCTAAGAGAAAAAGTTTTGTAAGAGTGGGACAGAAGAGATAATGGGTTAGGAAAGCTCATAGTCTGTCGTTTTTGAGTACTGAAGAAACGATACTATGCTTGTGTGGATGCAGTGATTTAAATCTTGTCATGTATGTAATTCAGAAACAAAAGAGTGAAGTTAACTTCATCCTGTCTTGACTGAGCCACTTTAATGATAAGTACCATAAATGATATCTGCCACACGATGTGGCCGAAGATCAATCATTTATTCCCTCAACTAATATTGAAAACCTACTAAGTCCTCAGTGCTATACCCGTAAGTCAGGCTCTCCTTTAACAATTAGGCAATTGGCTCAATCTTCAATGTAAAGATTGAAAAATTAAAAAGAGAAAAAGAGCAGAACACTCAACTCAGCATATACTAATTGTTGAATGAACTGAAGCTATTATTGTTTGCTTTTCCAGGTAGCTTTCCTTACTGAATACATGTGGATTTAGGGGAGGGTGATCAAGTGCTGGAGCAAACATTTTCCTGATTGTACTTTCAGAGAAAAATCTGTGAGCAAATAAATAATGATATAAGTTGCAAATCTCTTAATGAACCTAAAGATTCTTGCCACAAATTTCCCAATGAATACATATCTTTTCAATCTAACAGTTTTGATTTTCTAAGACTTTAAATTTGATTTTCAATTTATACTTTAAAAAAAAAAAGGTCAAATGAATTCCAACTGAAAAAGGGCATGGGAACTCCTTGTGCTAAATTTGAAATCTGGCTGGAAAAATTGCAGTCCTGTCTGAACATCCATTTTATCAATGCAGACAAAAATGCCTACTTCACTCTGTTGTCATGGGGCTTTGTCCTTCAGTGTTGTAATATATATAAAGCATCTAGCACAGTGCCTCATAGAGCCAACGTTTAAAAATGGTATGTATTGTAATAATGATGATAAGGATGATTTCATGATGATTTCTGAAATATAGTATATTTTGATTCATTTAAAAACACGGTGTCTTTTATTCTTTTAATGTGTCTTTATTTTCATTTAAAACCAAATTTGAAACTAAATAATTCTCACTCACTAAAATCATGTCAGAGTTAGATCAGCATTGTGTTAAAAGGATGTACGCCATCAACAATAGACATATGATAAATCATTTTTAAAGGAGCTGGTCCAACAGAAAGTGCCAGCACATTATGGTTTATGCTGTCTGCTGACCTTTAACTCTGTATATTTAACTGTGGAAATCGGACTTAAATTATTCATACTTATTTCTTTTAATAATTTATAATATAACTTTCTTTTGAAGACATTAGAAATATGGAATAATGTTGCTACAGTATTCAAAATAACTTTTTTTTTGGAACAATGCTGTATTTGAAAAAAAGAAATAGTTTACATGTGTTCAGTCTGTCTCTCCAGCCGCTGTGTCTATTTTGCAAATATATAAAGTATGAAACTGGCTAAGAGACATTTTTGGTCAAAATACAGATCTATTTTGGTATGTGGCTAAAAGTAGCTTAAATAAAAAGCTGTGTATCTAACTATAGCTAAACATTTATTTCTTTGAGGATTATTGACATAACAGAAGAGGTAAAATTTTTTTCAGAAGCCATGTTATGTGAAAATTATTGCTAGAATACTTCAAATTTTTAATGATATAGACCAGATAATTCCAGACGATGTAAATCAAAGAGAGAGAGAGAAAAATCCATGGTCAAGAAATCTGCATTACTCAAAGCAATGCCTAATTATATAAAGGGTGGGTTCTGCCCCTTTACTTGAAGTTCTGGATTTTTTTTTTTTTTTGACAAAGTCTCACTCTGTCACCCAGGGTGGAGTGCAGTGGCAAGAACTTGGTTCACTGCAACCTTCGCCTCACAGGTTCAAGTGATTCTCCTGCCTTAGCCTCTCGAGTAGCTGGGATTACAGGTGCCCGCCACCATGCCAGGCTAATTTTTGTATGTTTAGTAGACACAGGATTTCGCCACGTTAGCCAGGCTGGTCTTGAACTCCTGACCTCAAGTAATCTGCCCACCTTGGCCTTGTGCTGGGATTATAGGTGTAAACCACCACACCCAGCCAGGACTTGTTTTTTTTTTTTTCTGTCAAATTTGTATTCTGATCATTTTCTGAGCATTTCCTATTCATCTAAAAATTAATTCATAGCAGAGACTGCTGAACAGCTTAGCCTGGTATCAGAGAAAACTCCACGGCTTGAGTTAGAACTTGATCAATTAACAGACTTGTATAAAATTGTAGCTTTTTTGCTTTTAATATTAAAGGGAAGTTCCTTGCTTTTCAAAATCTTGTCATTTGACTTGCATGATAGACACCGTGGGCTATTTTTTGAGTTTAGATTTGAAATGTAAAATATTTTCAATTATTGATAACTTGGAATAAATACATTTGTTCTTATGATTTTGCCACATTTTCCACTTCCTTTTCAAAATGAGAAAGCTCTGTGGCCCTCATGGAAAATTTCTCCCTGGCATGGAATCTTGCAAGAAATTCAGTCACTTATGCTTGACTCCTGCTCTCAACTGTAAATCATTTTTAAAGGGTTACAAGTTAATTTTATTCTTTTTACCTTGACATCAAACAAGCCAAATGGAATATTCTTTCCCTTCCTTATTAAAATAGCCAAAATGTTCCTTTAATTGTGTAAAAAGTTGCCACTTAAACTTCCTGAAGCATGATGAGTTAAAGACAAATATTTGAGCTTTTGGAAATTTGATGATGATATTAAATAATTTCTTGCCTGATAGTGTAGTGGGTTGAATGGACGCATGTCCCTGTCCCAATCTCAGGAACCTATGAATACGACCTTATTTGCAAAACAGGTTTTGAAAATGTAAATAAATTGAGGATTTTTGAGATGAAATCACCCTGATTAATCTAGATGGGACCCAAATCCAATGACAAGCACTCCTCTAAGAGACAGAAGAAGAGAAGCCATGCGAAAGGAGACCGCCATGTGAATATGGAAGCAGACATTAGAGTGGTGCAGCCACAGGCCAAGCAACCCCTGGAGCCCCCAGAGGCTGCAAGAGGCACAGAAAGATCCTTCCCTAAGAGCCTCCTGAGGGAGCTCAGCCTTGCCTACCCTGATCTTTTGGCTTTCTGAAAAGAGAACGATTAACTTTTTCTTCTTTCAAACTATCAAGTTCATGATAGTTTGACATGGCAGTATTAAGAAACTCATACAGCTAGTAAAACGTAGGCTGCTTACCTGGAAACACTTAGATACATGTAATGGATTTCAACCTAAGATCAAGGTGACTTATACGAACAATCCCTTTTCCCTGTTATTCGAATAAGATAATTCTTCATTTTGAGATATTACTCTGACTTATTTTAACATTGTGAGCAGTTTTTCTCAGATGGAGCCCTGCCATGAGGCATAATCTTGTAGGCAATTCTTATTGCCTGAACAATCACCATTTTTTATAAACAAGAAGATGAGCCAAGAGAGAAGAAAGTCATACAAGTGTATTTCTTGCACTGGATTTCTAAGTAGCTTGCCCCAGTGCCACCATAACAGGACCATTTTTTTCATTTTTTTACTTCATGGAAAGAAAAGGCATTGTATTGCAATGCCGGGGACAGAGTAGTAACCATAGATTATGATGTAAATTCATCTGGCATCTCTTGTGATTTTAAAACTTCCTACCTTGTGAAAAATCCTCTATTTTGTGAGAAACGGGAAGTCCAAGTTAAAAATCTCTGATACTGGAAATAGTAGCAGCTTCCCTAAGTTCACTACATGTGCAGTGTGGAAAACCAAGAGAGAGAATACAGGAAGTTGTAAGCCCACTGCTTGTCAATTCGCTTGGTACCTCTGTGTACCAGACACTGTGAAGACAGGCATTGGCAAATCACTGAAACTAGCTGTTTAAGGGATTCTAAGTGGGACTGGGATGCAGAACAGCAAGACAGGTGCATTGGGTGCAAGTGCCTGTGGATGGTAACAGTTGAGTTTTATTCATGCAGGAAGTGGGGTTGAAGCTGAGGCCTGTGGGATGGGCAGTGAAAACAATGAAACAATGAAAGGACATTTCCTAAGATCCAAGGAAGGAAGAGCAAGCAAGAAGTCATTGAAACTTCAGGCTAACATTTTTGCAGGACAGGGAGCTGTAGTATCATTTATTCCAATCTGTTGAAATTAGAGTGGGATTGAAAGCCTTAAGAAAAAAAAAAGCACATATTGATTAGTTTATTTGGAGACTAATACAGATGTTAATTCACAATTAGTAAGAGATGCCTACCTACTTAAAAGTATTTAGCAACATATTTGCCTGCTAGGCTGTTTTTAATTTCAAGGAGGAAGGGTTGTGGTTACCTGATTTGTTGTTATCAGCTTCAGTCGCTTGAGTACTCTCTTAGAGTTCTCACAACGGGACTAAATTGGAAATGTAACCAACAGGTGATCCATTAAGGACTTGAGAGCAGTTAAGTCTTCCTTTGGGATGTATACTTTTACAGCCAATAAGCCTGGCCTTACTAGCTCCTAGTCAGTTTGCTTGCCAATAATAAAGCCTCATAATGTAACAGAGTGACACCCAGTAGAGCCACTCCTCTTAGGTTTCCACCGTCAATATTGACTCTAGAAAGCCTCTTAAAAAGGCATGGGATTCACTATTCTGTTAGAAACCCTTATGGGACTCAGAAAGAAGATGACTGCCATGTCTTAGTTAGCTTGGCACAGGTTCTTGAAGATAATACTACTTTTAAAAACACTTTTAAATTATTTCCTGAAATAAAAGAGAGTCACTAAATGGCTTTAAAATTTGTGTTCAGTAATATTAATCATCTGGCATCATAATGTATACACATGGCCAGACAGTTATCTCTATGATTTATGTCCTAACCAATTGATGGAAAGGTCATATAATGTGTGGGAATGAGAATGACATTTGCCAGCAAGATATAATATTACATAATAGACTGGGGAAGCTAAAATGAAAGAATAGCGATAATAATCAGTATGAAAGCAATTCAACTTTAATATTTTAAATATATTGTAATTTTTAGGGAGGCATCCCCAGATGTAATAAATGCTTCAGAAGACTGCTCTCACTCAGTAACGGTTTTACAATTCAGTAGCAGAATAGCTCATCGTACAGGTCACCTTTAAAAGGACTAAATGCACTTAAGAAACAAAAATGTTTATTGCCCATTTGCAGCAATTGTTTCTGGATGATTGTGAGATCAATTTTTAAATGGCTTTATTTTTAGTATCACGGGATGCTAACACTGGAAGGTGCTTAGAAACCATTCCCTTTCATTCTCTAATTTTAAAGAGCAAAGCGTCCTGCCTTGGCTTCTTCCTTTTGGTCTTGCTCCCTTTCCATTCATTTTCACACTGTTGGCAAAGCAAGGGATCTTTTTAAAGCCATCTGCTTAATGTCTCTCAATGGTTTCTCATTACCTACAGCAGCATTTGCCAAAGTCTGTGCCATGAACAACTAGCTCAGCCTGTTGTAATTGGCATTATTTTAAAGAACAGGGAGTTCCACAATCATGTGTTTGACATACTGGGTTCAACACAAATGGTGCCTTTTCTGCAGGACTTCTCAAACCCTTTTATAGACAATGTTGACCAAACTTGTTTAGGCACTGAAACTTTTTTTTTTTTTTCCCTTCCTCGAAGATCTCCCGGGACTGACTTGTGATTCACTGGCCTGATTAATAAGGTCCACAATTCTAAGCGTGGAATACCATTCCTTCAAAACTGACCCCTGCCTTCTGGTTCAACTTCATATACCAATGCTCCATGTTTAGATTCTAGATCACACTTAGAACCAACTAAAGTAAGCTTTTCTGAAAAGCTGTTCTGTTGTATCTTCCCTCTGGGGTGTTTTGGCTTTGCTTGGTTACCAACTACATGGGCTTTCCAGATTCAGTTCCAGTGTCACCACCAGGAAGCCTCTGTTTGTTTTCTCTGGGTTTTTAAGGGTTTTTTAGGGGTTTTTTTTGGGTTCTCTGGTTTTTTTAGGGTTATCTGACCTAAGGATGGCCCACAGCCCTCTCTCCTCACTTCTCACCACAGCGGGTACCAAATGGGGCTGTCATCCTGCTAACTTGCAGGTCTCACCTCCAAAATCCCCATTTCCTTTTAGTTAGGACTGTGTTTCATCCTCTTTGCCAGCACACTGCCTAGGACATTGGTGGTGCTCAGGAGAGAACCATGGACCTATGGGAGGGAGGAAAGGTTAAGTGGCATGTCAGGATGACATGGCTGCATGGCATGCTTTTCAGGCCAGTGCGGGGACACTACAATGACCTATGGACATTGAATCCACAACTCATTATAAAGAAATTCAGCAAGATGACACTATGATTAGTTCTAATTAATTAGTTTAATTACTCCCATGATTGATTTCATAATGCCCTTAAGCAAATTCTAAATATATATTTTGAAGGAAAGAACAAGGAACAGAACAACGTAGAAAAAAGGGTCCAAGACTATTTTTGCATTTATATGATAGAATTAAGTTCTGGGTTTTTTTTTTTTTTTAGTAGCTAATAGTGTGTGAGCCTATTTTAATGACTGTGTGTGTGTGTGTATATGTGTGTGTGTGTGTGTATATATGTATATATATGTTGAACACATATATGTTTAAGAGAAATTCCAAATGTATTGCAGCTCATATTTGGATATAACTATTGAGTTTGTAGTGTCTGTGGTGGCTTTTTCATGAGTCCAGGAAACATCAGAAATGATTTTTACCACGGATATTAGTTATCTTGCCTCTGCTGGTGAAACTGCTATTCAGTTAAGCAAGCATGTCAGTTCACTGAGAGCCAAGTTAAAGTATGTTTTTTTGATGATATGTAGAAAAAGAAAGTAAAATAAGAGTAAAAATTGGATTTTTTTCTCTTAAAAATGTATAAGGCTTTCTGTGTTATCTACCTCTTTTGTATGGCACATTAAAAATTGGAAATAAAAATTGAATTGGACTTCTTTCAAATATAGAGCATTCTCAGTGTCTGATATATATATATATATGCCATATATATATACACACACAAACATATATATATATATAATCTCAGTGTTCATTATATGTAAAATTAGATACATATATAAAATAAAATACATTCTCTCAGTAGACAGTGATGAAATGATATATCAGATAGTAATATCAGTTATTGTATTTGACTAAAAGTGCACCATACAGTTTCATGATTAATGCTGCTTCTGCTGAAACATTGACCCCCAAAATATTTTCAATGAGGTATATTCATTAGAGGTCTTCCTGACTTCTTTGAGTTCTGTTCTCAGATGTTCCTGGAAATAAGTACATAGAAAAATAGATCTTTCTACTATTAATTTTGTTTTTTCAAGTAATAACATTCCTAGAAAAGACAAAAGTATTTTTGAAAATTGAGTATAGAAAAGGTTTACTGAAAATAAACGTGAAGATGTAGCACATAGACTGAAAAGTTAGTAGTGAGTCTGAGGAGTTGGATGGCAGTTAGGTGGAGAAACCAACCAACCCAACAGGCAAGAAGGAGGAGGCAGAGCATGAGTCCCAGTGCCAGTGGATCATTAACCAGGAGGCAGACCTCAGGGTCCTGCTCTCTATGGCAAAATGCAAGGAGAGTGGGAGAGTTTGAATTCCAAGTTATTCCTCCACTATGTTGTGGTCAGTTATTTATTTCATGAATGTATCTTTTAATTTTTAAACTTGAAATCACAGAGAATGAAGAATTTAAAAAGGTTTAAATTCTGGCCAACATGTAATTCCAACATTTTGGGAGGCCAAGGTGGGAGGATCGCTGGAGACTGGAAGGTCAAAGCTACAGTGAGTTGAGATAGTGCCACTGCACTGCAGCCTGGACGACAAGAGTATATATATATGGCTTTAAAAGGGGTCTGTTCATGTTCCTTCTGGGATTATATAACGTTGCCTTGCCCCTGGACCAGGAAGTGACTTAATGATCACCTAAAGTCCTTTGCATCTTACCATTATTATTATTCTTTCCTCAGGTAAAGTGAAAATTCATTAAATACAGGATACTTTTTTGTATGTTAAAATTCAACCACAATGGTTGTGGTCATAGTAGAAAAAATGTTCCCCAAGTTATCTATAAACAGAATATGGAAAGATATAACAAAACATTTAGAAGTTTCTTTTGACTTTTTCCAAATGACGTGTATTTGGCTTTTCAATTTTTATTTTTATGAGAACTTTGTTTGCCTCACACATGAGAGATTTGATTACATCATGGACTGGGCAATACTGGAGAACACTGAATCCAAAACCATGTTTTATGTAAGCATTTATGTTATCCTTGCATTTCAGTTTTCCTCCTGTAAGTGTAGGCGCAGTGTTTAAGGAGGGAGGATACAAAAAGATGAATTATAGAGGAGGAAAATTAGCAGACAGCCACTGGCAGCAGGGGGCAAGAAGCCAAGTGGAAAGACCAGCAGTAGAGATAACCACGTAAATGGTGGAAAATGGAAGCAATGAAACACTGTGTTAACCTAACAATCAGTTTTGGATTTAGGTCATCAGGCTGCGTGTGGTAGAATGAAGATTTCACTTTTATTTACTAAACACTATTGGAGGGGTAAAGGTTGCCTTTAAACAGTGTCATCCCATTATTTCTATAATAGAATTGTCTCACAGAAGCCCTAAATCAAAAATTTCACTTTGGGACTATGTTTTATTGTATCCTTTCTAAAGTAGCTTGGTTCCCATCAACTTGAGATAGGCCTAATTTTATGTCCTATCTTTGACTTTAGTTTTTGTTAAGTGTATTAAACATCACTTTTTTTCTGATGAAATGAGCAATCCAGTAAATGCAGTCTCTTATCTTGTGCTTATTAACTACAGACCACGCTGGTTTAAAATATGAAGTGGTTTATGGGACACTAAATTGAAACCATCTTGGGTGAAATACATTTGAAAGACACAACACAGGCATGTATCACTTTATTTTCATTTCCGACTGTCAGCAGAAATTGGAGACAACACTCTTCCTTTCTGTTTGATTATTCTATTATCGACAGAATGAGGAGTGTTGGAGACATACATGCTGATTTAGTGTTGTGCTGATGAAACCATTCAGGTTGTGTGATGTGTCATTTTTCACTGCTGCCTTATCAAGGTGTTTTAGCTGTGCCTAAACCAGCCCTGGTAATTGCTTTAGTTGCTTGTGGCAAAGTTATGTCAATGTCAGTCCCTAAATGACTTGGCTGCTTCATGTCAGATGTTCTCTCCAAAGAAAGACAGTGTAAGGGACTTTTTATACCTGGGTATGGGTGTTAATTCAAAGTCTAAAAAGAAAAGGTGTTGTTTTGTTCTTCCCCACCTAATCAAAACTCAAATGCAAAGGCTGCCATTTCTGTTTTAAAATGAAGAGAGTACAATTAAGTTCATGATTCACTTCAAGTGTGATCTTATCCTATATTGATAGCTTTTTTCCCTTGGTCCTAACTGTAAATGTGAGTCAAGTACAGCTTTGAACAAGTGCAGTGTACAAGTAGTTATGATGTAGGTGCGCTTCCTTATGCAATATCTGCTTAAAACCTATTTCTAATGTTTATGCAACTCCAGTGCTTCTCCAAACTCTTTAAGTCTCCAGTTTAGGGGTTTTTAATTATGATGATGATGTTTGGATTTGAGGAGGAATATACAATTAAAGAGGCGAATGAAGAGTGTTTTTTTCCTTAAAAAAAAAAACATCTATAGTTTTAATAGTTGACTTACAAATTCGTGTTGATCAAGATTCAGAGGCACAAATATATATTTATACATCCTCCACACATGTATGGACTGGACACTGTTCTGTTCACCAGTATTCACAATATGCTGTGATCCTTTTTCTACATCAATTATTTTAATAGTTGTATACTTCACCATTGTATAACTCTTCAGATTCAGCATTTGTTTTGTTTCCAATCTGTGCTAGTAAAAAGAGTGCTGTAATCAGCCTTTTGCATACATTTTAGTTCATTTGTTGAAAAATTATCTGGAAACATTTCAGACATATATTTACTGCATCAAACAGTATGTCCATTTTAAGAATTCTTAAAAATGTCGTCAAGCAAACCCTCAGACTATTTTAACCCATTTATATGATCACTTAGAACATATAAGAATGTTGATTACTCCACATAACCAAAACTAGAGATAGAGTGCTTTCAAAATCTTAACCAATACAAGAAGTGGAAAGCTGCATCCCATAACTGTTTGATTTTTTTGGATGTGAGAGATGTTGAGTAATTTTTCTAGATCCAAGGACTACTTTTTATTACTATACAATTTCAGAAGATACCAAAGCAGGTCAAAGTAATGAAGATTTGAACTGGGCTTTAAAAAATGGTGCCAGAGGCCAGGTGCAGTGGCTCATGCCTGTAATCACAGCACTTTGGGAGGCCAAGGCAGGTGGATCACCTGAGGTCAGGAGTTCGAGACCAGCCTGGCCAACACAGCAAAACTGTTTCTACTAAAAAAAAAAAAAAAAAAAAATATATATATATATATATATATATATATATATATATATATATACATACACACACACACACACACATATATATGTATGTATGTATATGTGTATATATACATGTATATGTATATATATACACACATATATATACACACAAAAGTCAGCCAGGTGTGGTGGTGCATGCCCGTAATCCCAGCTACTCAGGAGTCTGAGGCAGGAGAATCTCTTGAACCCGGGTAGCAGAGGTTGCAGTGAGCTGAGATCACACCACTACACTCCAGCCTGAGTGACAGAGTGAGACTCCATCTCAAAAAAATAAATAAGTAAAAATAGAATAAAAAAATAAAATGGTATTAGGATTTGGGGAATGAGGAGCAAATTCAAATGTGTAAGAGAGCTTGTGGGCAACTGAGGTAAGCTTTCCAGGGTAGGGACTGTTGAGAACTAGAGAGTATATGTGCAGCATGGCTGGTGTAACTTTACAGCCACAGCCAGTAGATGATAAACTTCATAAACTGACACTCAATGTTGTCAGATCTCCCAAAATTTAAAGAGAAGCTTGAAATAAGATCTTTATTTATACCTCCTCTTAGGGAGTGTGTTCTGTATGTTTTGCCAAAAATCTACCTGCTCTCTGAATTTGGCTCATGTACTACCTTTGGTAAACCATTGATATTTATGGATTGATAGGGCATTTCATGTCAAGATAACAAAATGAATAAAAGCTGGAAAACCTGGGACAAGTTTGATAGAATGGGATGGTCTGGAACTCTATCTCGGTGAATTGCTAGAGATGAAGCGAGGTACTGTAGATAAGTCAGGATAGAGTGAATTGATTTGCAGACTATTTTAATATGCAAGCAGAGAAGACTCTGCTGAATCTAGTTTAAAATAAAGATAAGATTGTTCCTTCAAGTGTGTTTTGTTTTGTTTATGAAAGAATTACATTAGTACTAAAAAGAGAGAGATGTAAGAAGGAGAAGTTCAGAGAAGCTGTTGTGATATTCTAGGCAAGAGATGATAAAGTGTTAGATTGAAGCAATAGTTTTAGTAATTTAGAAGGGAGAAATGAGACAAAGGCTGAAGAGGGAATTTAATAATATGTTCTAAGCCATTGCATAAAAGATGTCTTTCACTCTTGTTTCTTACATTTTTTGCTTCTGTGATTTTAAATTGTGTATCGTTCTTCTTATAAGTATAGTTATCCCTACAGGGGATAGTTTCTCTAGATGATGGTAGATGTCAATAAATACAGAGTATATTATTCACCATTTATAATTGGATTACAAAGGCAAAACAGTGATTGGTAATATATAAGTGTTAATGATTAAAGGAAGTTATAGTTTCTCTTCTAAGTCATTACAAAGGCTTATTATATATAATATAATACATAATAATTATTCAAGGCTTCTTCAGATGACTAAAGATATTGGCAATCTGGGAACAATATAACATTAATTTGGCATTGAAATGGTCGGTTGAGACTAAACTGTGCTCAGACTGTAAACAAATCATCAGCAGTGGATAAAGAAGGCCAGAGGACCACATAAATCACTTTTACTCTCTTTAATAAACTGTCTGTCATTAATTATTGGTCACATGACTAATTACAAGGGTTAAAACAGAGATAAGGGTAAAATACTACCCAGGTTTTAAAACTTTGATGCCTAGAATAACTGATTTTGGAGGTAAGATAATTTCTATAAAGCATATCAACTTGTTGAGCAGGCATTACACTGTGGGTGGCCCATGGGATAAAATGGATAATACTGATACCTATGTAACTAATTGCATTTGTGTTAATATTTCAATTAAACTCAAATTTTATATATTGTAACATAATTTATCCACATGGATTAAAAAATTTAAATACTAAAAGGTATAAAGAGAAACATCTTTCCCACCTATGGTCAAAAATTTCCCAATTCTCATACTGCCTTCTGCCACTGTCTCCTAAAAGGGTAGCTATTCTGTTTATGTATCTGTTCACTTTCTCTATTTACAGGCAAAAAATGTGAAATTGTATCTATATTGTTCACCATTTTTTTTCCTGTTTTACAAGAAAAGATACCATAATATGCATACCCTTTCACAACTTTTTTCTAAGGTGGCTTTATCTCTTAGAGAACTTTGCATACCAGTACAAGGAAAGCCTACTTATGCTTGTTTATACAATACATAGCATTCCATTCCATAGATATAGCATAGTCTCTTTTAATAATTCAGTATTGATGTAGACTTGGATACTTCCAGTATTTTGCTATGATACACAATGTTGTATGTGAGCGACTATAGTTGTAGGATAAATTCCTAACACATTTTTAGTAGTTGTAACACCTGCTATGTTTGTGAAATAATCTTAGCATGTCTGAATGTAACTAAGTCTAAATAGCTGTCAACTGAAGGGCTTAAGTTTTGGCTACAAATGGTACCAGTGTATCTGGCAACACTTAAACCTAGACAATTGTGCAATATAAAGTAGAGACCACTCCCTGCAGTCAGAGTTAGGAGCTCTTTTCTCTTACAGACCTGATTATCTTGCCTTTGTCATTGGCCATTCATCCCACTCACCTACCACTTCAGGAAATTCTACCCTATAGCTGCCTACATTTTGACCCAATAGTGGTCTCTGAATTATCACATGACTCACACACCAGATTTAAGGTGGAACGGAGCTCAGTGGGAAGCTAGGAAATTTTCTGTAACTGCTGAACATGTCAGAATCAGTATGGAATGGACAACCTGGGTCCACCTGAACTTCCGCTCTTCCTTTTGTCTGCAGAAAAAGAAGGGCTTGATTGGACCAATTTCAGTATGAGCATCTCTACACTGTCTTTAACTCTTGCTTTTTGCAGTCAGGAAGCTGTGTTAGACCTCAGACCTGGAGAAATGCCTCTACATTCTCCTGAAGAGCTCTATTCTGATTTTCATTTTTGATTTATAGAAAATATATCGTATATATTTTTTTAATTTGGAAAGAAATTGAGAAACATATTCTGAACCTAGTGTTTTATGGCATGCAGATGGAATGGGTAGTATCTGTACAGATAGATAACAATAGGAATAATTTTAAAATGTTGTATATTATGAGATTCCCTTTTGTGAAACACAGCCAAGAGAAAATGCCCTCTAATGGTAGATAAATATGCAATTTGACCTAGTGGCCTGTGGACCAATAATGGGAAATTCAGAAGTTTAAATCCATCAAGAGAAATGACAGCTAGTAGACCATGGAGTGATAACCACTCTAAAGCTGATTTATACGCACCTGAATGTAACTAAGTAGATATGACTGGAAGAGTGGCAATTTTGCTGCTGAGTCCATATCTAGACATGCCAAAAGAAAAGAATGCTTATTTTTAAAATGATGTCCCTATTTTTAAAGTGATATAACTATTTTGTTTGTTCATGTTGGTTTTGACCTGGAATATCTCTAAAGGTCATCTTGTTATCTAGTCATATTGGTACCTAAACTGGAACAAATAGAAAATTCCTTATGGCACTTATGTGCAGCCATCATGATTTCATCACAAACAGTGTATCTAGTCAGAGACCTCAAAGTCTAGAAGTTTGTGATCTTTCTGAATATTTGACATTCCCTTTACCTCAGCAGCTTGTTACGTGACCAAGACCATTACTAAAATGGATGGTGATTTATTAATTTCACAAATATTCGCTGAGTGTTCACCAAGTATAATTTATTGTGCTAGGTGTTATGAGCAAAAAAAAAAAATGAACAAAGCAGTCACTGTCCCCAAGGATATGTGCACACATATTATTATAATTATAATAGGCTAAAATGGGACATGTGCCCTCAGTGCAGACATTTCAAGGAAGGAAATGTAGCTTCCAGATGGCAGATCATGACAATTGTCATGGAAAAATATGCCCTCTCAGTTTGTGGATATGGAGAAATAGAAACAAGGGACTCTTATGGGTTGAATCGTGTTTTCTTAAAATTTGTATGTTGAAGTTATAATTCCCAGTACCTCAGAATGTGATTTTATCTGGAGATAGGATGTTTACAGAGGTAATCCAGTTAAAATGAGGTCGCCACTGTGAGTCCTAATTCAATATGACTGGTGTCCTTATTAAAAGGGACACAGAGACACAAATGGAAGGAAGACAGTGTGAACAGACACAGGGAGAAGATGGCCATCTACAAGCCAAGGAGAGGGTCCTGGAATAGGTCTTTGCCTTACATGCCCCAGAAGGAACCGACTATGCCAACACCTTGCTTTTGGACTTCTAAACTGCACAATAGTGAGACAGTTCATTTCTGTTTTTTAAGCCAACCAGTTTATGGTGCTTTATATGGCAGTGTTAGTAATCCAATACAGGGAGATTCTGAGCAGAGGAAACCAGAGAAAGAAAGCCTGGTATATAGGTTTAGAGGAATTTGGCTGGAATGTGAAGTACGCAGAGAGATAGCAGATGTGACTGAAATGGGAGTTGAATGGGATTAAGGAGGGTCTTCTAAGCCAAAGCTATAGAACCAGAAATACAGAGTAAAGTCTCAAAGCAATGCATGACAGATGACTGATAACGCTTATATGGTCCAGTCTGGTCAGTGGAAGAGGCTGCTCTCATTTCAAAGCAACTGACCTAGGCCCTTTCTATGTGCCCAGATTCGATTCTATGGCCACAAGATCCTATGCCGTGGCAACAAGAACTGGGGGTATCAATATCTCCAAGTATGTGTTATTCGTTTTTGGCCTCCCTTTTTGAGAGTCTTTCTATAGGAAACAAAGAGCCATTGAAAGCTTTTGATTAGCAGTGTGACACAGTAAGAGCTATGCTTGAGGATGATTGCCTTTGATGGCTAGGAAGGGTACCAGACTGGGCAAGTGACTGGGAAGCAGTTTCAAGAATACAGGTAAGAAATAATGAGGTTTTGAATTAGGACAGCAGCTGTGGTATTAGACAGAGGATATGGCTGTGTCTTATGTCCACATTACATTTGTCATTATTCTTTGGTAACTTTGCTTCCATGACTGTTAAGGTGTTTCTTTCGATCTTGATAAGTATGAAGAAGATAACTCCAAAGGAGTTAGAGATAAGGAATAAAAAGGGATATTTAGCTTTGTTTATTACCCTTTTTAATGGTATTGCAGTATGTTGCAATTCCAGAAGTAGAAGTTCTCATAAAACTAAAGATAATTTGCTTATAAATATTCTGATTGATATTTGACAACTTACAGAATTTATGTGGATAAATACAGGACATTGTATTACTTTTGATAATTCTGCTATTTGAAAAATACTTATATATTTACTGCTGATATGCAATTTAATTGTATAACATGGGATTTGGGGGTATATGTTTGTGAATGCTTAGCAAACTGATTAAGGAAGATACGGCAAGAGCTGACAATAAAAACTAATGGTAATAATATACAGAAATCAATTTGGATATTCTATGGTATTAAATAAAACTTAATTACATTATGCCTGCCACTGGGTGGACTAAATTCATATTTCTATGTTACCTAGAGTGGTTAAACATGTTTCTGAAATCGATCAAAAATTGATATTTGGTTATTTATCATAGCAATTTCAATATTTCTTCAGTTTTAAAGGAAGCAATCCATTTAAAATACATTTTATAATGCGAGAAATGTTCAGAATATGAGCTGACTTATTGGAAATTTCAGAGAAATGTCTAAATTTTCTCGAACTTTAACTCAATATTACCCAAAGATATCATGATACCTTGTGCTGCTAACTAGATTATTTTATTGTCTTTATCTATTGATAAATGCTACGGGTTACATTGATTTTTAGCTGTGTTATCCCTGCAAGATGCATTTTTGTATTTTCTTTGAGTTTAACTTTTAGTACCCTTTTTTTGACAGCTGCTTAATTGTATTGATTTTTTTCTAGGTCAATAATAATTTAGAGAAGAACATTTTAGTATATTTTGTTTAGAAAATATTGGCTCATAACTAGCAGTATTCTGAAAAGTCTAGCTACAAATGCTACACATTCACTGAATAGACTGCTAGATAATAAGCAGACAGGAGTAAAGATTTATTCCAAACTCATTATCTCAGAAGAGTTTCCCAGGAAGCAGACTTAAGATGAAAATGCGTTTGCAGCCAATTTATGGGGCAGTGTCCCAGGAGCAACGCAACGTCTCTAGGGAAAGTGAAGGAACAAGGATGCAAAAGGGGGAGTTGTACTATAAGGCAGTGAGAACAATAACCCCAGCTGATCCTACCAGTGATCCCACTGGGTGTTTTCAAACTGGGATGCCCCCATCCAGCCATGAGTGCGACTGGACCCTTATGCGTACACACAAACCAGTCTCTGGACATAGCTGCCCTGAAGGTGCTGTCAGGGGTTTGAGCTTTGAGCTGCCAGCAATCCCCAGTAGCTGGGAGAAATGAGTGCCTCCATCCAGAAGGAAGGGTGTAAGCGGCATTCCACAGCATCCTCTGCACTCGCAGCTCCATATGTCTATAAAACAACTGATTTTAGAAGGCACATTCAGTTTCTGGTACTAAGTAGTTCCTAATAATTGAAATATTTGCTATTTAGATTTCTCTGTTATCAGAATCTGCCCATTTTCTTTGAAAAAAAATATATACATCTTTAGAAAATGAGAGAAAATGAAATCGTCTAGGCTGAGCATGGTGGCCTGTAATCCCAGCACTTTGGGAGGCTGGAGCTGGCAGACCTCTTGAGCCCAGGAGTTTGAGATCCACCAGGGGAACATGGCAAAACCCTGTCTCTACAAAAAAAAAAAAAAAAAGGGAAAAGTAGCCAGGTGTGGTAGTGCACGCCTGTAATCCTAGCTACTTGGGAGGCTGAGCTGGGAGAATTGCTTGGACCTGGAAAGTGGAGGTTGCAGTGAGCTATAACTGCACCAGTGCACTCTAGTCTGTGTGACCAAGCAAGACCCTGTCTGAAAAGAAAACAAAAAGAAAAAGAAAAAGAAAAGAAAGAAAGTCTAGATATTAAATCCTTAATTTCCATGTAACTCTGAAAAATAACATTTATCATTATTAAGTGGTTCCTATGAGTATGTCAGGATTAATATCAGTAAAACTGTTTTCTTACTGGTAACTGAAAAAATAAAAAAGATATTTAGCTTTGTTCATTACCACCCCATACAAAGATCATTTGCTGTTAAGTAACTATAGGAAATACTCAATACAATATCTTTTTTTGGTATTTCTGCTTTAATATTAAACATATAGCTTTTCTTTTCAAAATTAATCTTGTCAAAGAGGTTCCACAGTGACCTCTTTGACAAGACTTCAATTTATGATACTGAATTTAAATTTTAGGCATATGAATAAGGATGAATCATTTTAATTAGGACTTCATTTGTATTTAATAATTATTTTTAATATATAGCAAGTCTAATGTATACATCTTAACTGGATACTGTTGGTTTAGTGATTAAAACAGTACGTTAGCCATCAAAAGGCCCAAATTCTGGTCCTGTATACATTTTAAATTCTATTCTCAATTCTTTGAACTATCAATACTACTGTTTATATTTTGCCTGAAGTACAATTTATATTTTTACATATATGTGTGTTTTATTTACTCAGTTAAGCTGTATGCTCCTTTCAAACAGAATTGTGTCTTCTTTGTAGATGAATGCTTTTACATCTTGAAACCTTAATTATTGTGGTGGGAGGGTGAAGATTATTTGTTTTTAGTCCTTTTGGGCTGCTATAACAAAGTATTATAGATTGAATGGCTTGTAAATGACAGAAACTTATGTCTCACAGTTCTGGAGGCTAGAAGTCTAAGATCAGGGTGTCAGCATGGTTGGGTTCTGGTGAAAGTCCTCTTCCAGGTTGCATGCTGCCAACTTCTCATTGTGTCCTCATGTGGCAGAAAGCAGACAGAAGAAGCAAGCTCTCTCATGACCCTTTTAAGGGCACTAGTACCATTGATGAGGGCTCCATTCTCGTGACCTCATCTAATGCTATACTCCTAACACCGTCACACAGGGGCATAGGATTTAATATATGAAATTGGCAGAACACAAGCATGCAAGCCATGACAGATTTATTACTTCATACCTCTCTATTCTCGATTTTCCACTGCAAATTTTTTGTTTGTTTGTTTGTGTTTTGAGATGGAATTTTGCTCTTGTTGCCCAGCCTGGAGTGCAGTGGTGTAATCTTGGCTCACTGCAACCTGCGCCTCCTGGGTTCAAGAGATTCTCCTGCCTCAACCTCCCGAGTAGCTGGGACTACAGGTGCCCACCACTACGCCCGGCTAATTTTTCTGTATTTTTAGTAGAGGTGGGATTTCATCATGTTGGCCAGGCTGGCCTCGAACTCCTGGCCTCAGCTGATCCACCTGCCTCGGCCTCTCAAATTGCTGGGATTACAGGTGTGAGCTACCACGCCAAGCCTGCAAAATTTTTAAATGTGTTACACAAAACTTCAAAATATTTATAAAGATTAAAATGAATATTTTCTGCTGACTCAAATGTCATGTTGAGGGTAGCAGAGCAGAAAAGCAAAGGACTGAAGTTTTTTATAATGTCACTGAGCAACCTAGGGGACTATTTTATTTTATTTTTTTCACCTTTATATTCCCAGCTCTAAGAACAGTACCTGACACTCAGTTGGAACTTCTTACATACATGTATTTTAAGTAAAAATTTTATTGTAATATTACAAAATACTCTAAATGTTAAAAAAAAGAAGGATAGCATTTAAAACTCTTAACCACATTATCAATCTGGAAACATCAGGGATGCCTAAAGTTAAGAAGGAGCCATAGATAATTTATCTGCATGTAGGACAAACAAAATCCTGAAATAGTTTATTATTTCTCCCATTTCATAAGGAGCTGTAAAATGATGACAAAGGCTTTTCTGGAATGTCAAAATCATTCTTTTAACTGAAAAAAATGCATCATATATCTGGTAGCAAAAAATCACTGCTTTGAAATTGACTTAATATTATGAATAAAGATTTTAAGATATCTTTTATTTAAGTCACTACCACCCATTTCCAAGTTACTACAGAGAACTATTTTAATTGCAAAAGTCTATTTTCTCTTTCATTTGAGAGTACCAGTGTATTCATTTTTAAAAATGGTCTGTGGTAGGCAGCACAAAGGCCTCAAGGCAGACCAGTGCCTGTAGTAGGACTGAGAGCCAGGAAGCTTTGGCTGTTCCAGGTAGCAGTGTCAGATGCCAAGAGCACCTGAAAGAGCTGATGTCAAGTCTCACGCTTTGTGAGGCATGCCCATTGCAGCCTGGTTGTCAATTGCCTTATATCCGGGGCCATGCATGTAGTAGTTCCAAATGATCAAGGTAGAGACATTTCAATTTTGCTCATACTATCTCCACATGGAGTGCTAGTTTTTTGTATTTTGTTATTTTTAATTTCATATTGGCATTATGGAGCATGAAGTGCCAGAGAATGTATAAGCTTAACACCTGCCATTTAAAATTAATTATGAAACACCTCATTTAACATTATAAACACATTACTCTATTTCATGTGCTTGAAATTTTATTTTGAAATGTGGGTGGTCTTATGCCACTTAGCTTAATTGGTTGGACTCTGGTGCTGATGAGCCTGGAGTCGCTAGTTGATTTTTCTATAAGGTCACATTAGCTTCCCACAGATAAAACAAACAAACAAAAAAACAAACAGCTCTTTTCCTACACTGACATTTCACAGTTAAGGGGGCATGTTATATTTTATGAAAAATATTTTCTCAAATATTTTTCCTTGCGTTCACAACAACCCCAGTAGGAAAGATTGAAGAGTATTTTTATTTTTATCCTCATTTTTCAGATTATGAATTTTGGAAGAAATTCATACCTAATAGGATTAACTTAGTTGACAGAGCCAGAAATTTGCTAGGCCAGGTTCTCTGACTTTAAATCTCTTCTCTGTTATATCACACAACAACTCAAAAACTGTAGTCTGATGTTGATGTGCCTTTGTCCCAGAAGTGGTTACTTTGCTTTTATTAACTAGTCAATTTGGATAGCAGTTTTGATAAGTCAGCATTTATCTTATATTGTGTCCTATATGAGTACAAATCTTTATATCCCCCATGATTTTGTTTATATCACATCACTTTAAATAGGTTTAACCCAGTTGCCTTCACCTTCAATGCGACATAATCAGGATTAAGAATCCAACTTCTGATAATACTAATGAATAATGATTTCAGAAGCATACTGGATAAAATCAGAAACTAGTTTCAATATTTCAATGATGTAGCATTTAGTAGAGTATTTTAAATGTTAAAATAAATGTGTAAAGTTGTACATCTCTCATCTTGACAATATCCTTTGGCTGTCTTGAGATTAAGGGTGTTTGGAGTCTCTGTGATCCCATTGGAAGGATGCATGAGGCCTGCTGGAGGCTGTCCTGTTTTCTTCTGTACCTCAGTACAACAGTCTCATGGGACTAAAATGTTTTGGTTATTGGCATATAATCTTGGTTTCACTACAGCATTTATTTGGTGAGAAAGAACAATACTGTGTCTTCTGCTACCATTGACTGCCTAGAACTTTTTCATTTTTACCAAAATGAGTAAACATACATTGTGAATCATTCTTTTTAAGGAATTGTTAAAAGAGTCATATATGACTAAAAATTGTTTTCAAAGTTTTATTCAACTCTTGCCTTCTACATTTTCTTTTGAGGTGGTGAATATAGAGAGTTTACAGAGTTTGAATACTTAAAAATAAACAGTTTATAGTCACCCTTTTTTGGTATTCTTCATTTAATGAAGAACAGTAGTTTTGATGAATAGCTCCTCTTGTTTTTAGCAATCAATCTTTATATTCTCTAATATATTGAGCTGAACATTTTTATATGGAGAAGAATTGAGCATATTATCCCATTGCCGATTTTAAAGCCTATATAACATTTTATTTTTCTAAGGTCACATACAATAAATTAAAATACTGTAACAAATATCTTCAGATATTTGTGATTATGTAATTAATCAAGTTCATTTTTGTCAAGCTGGAATTCTTTGCTGGAATATTTTCATTTCTTAAATTTCATGTTCTTGTCATATATGTAGAAAATCAGTTTAATTTAATAAATAAATGCTTGTCTAATGTGTGTACTGAATTATCTTTCTTCTTAGTATATAATTGTTTTCTTACAGAATTATAATTATTTTCTAATCAATTCTGTCCCCCTCATCTCTGAAGCCTTTATCCTATATTCTTCATCCCAATATTAATCTGGTTTATATTAGGTTGGTGCAAAAGTAATTGCAGTTGTTGCCTTTAAAAGTAATGGCATTACATAAATATTTGTTGAAGTAAGCCAATTTATGGCTGAGTAACTGAGTATTGCATATGAATCAGTCCCAGCACTTAAGACTTGTAAGGAATTGAAAGTTGAGGCCAACTCATTGGCTGATATTTGGTGTGCTATATTAAGTAGTGGTTACCAACAGTCTCTGCAGCAGGAATGCTTGGGTTTAAATACTGCTAGAGCCATTTCTTATTGGCCTTGACTTATTTGCTTAATCTCTGTTGCTTAGCTTGTTAATTTATAAAGATATTTTGTAAGGCTTAAACAAATTAATATATATGTAAAGTTCTTAAAATGCTCCCAATAAGTGCTAACATATTAATGTTATCTGTTACTACTATTTTTAAATAGGCTAGTTTTACCAAACCTATCAAGAAAGGCCAAGGCTACTACGTATCATGAGAAGGGACTGAATGCATTGTCTGGGCTCCTAGAGGCCCACTTAACCCTTTCATCCCTTCCGTATATTAAGGTACCTTAATATTTCAAAGCCTTAGGATTTTTGTGTGTTTGGCTTTTTTTTTTATGAGAAAAAGTTTATTTCTCTCTTATACAAAAGAAGTCCAGAGGCAGGCAGTCCAGGTATACTCAAGAGCTTTCTTAAAAAATGAGTTAATCAGAAAAAAAAGCAAAAGCCATTCATAAAATTAACTCACTTTTTAAAGAAAGCTCTTGAGAATATATACAATATTGGTTGGATTCCCAATTCATTCTTTAGAAGCCATTATTTATTTGCTGTCAACGTTTCAATTTATCAACCAATTGGGATTATGAGATAACTTTGTTTTGATAGGAGAGAGGATGTATAAGATAGAGTGTGGGGTGGCAGATACTGAGGAGTTGAAGAAATAATTGAATTCAGCAGCTAAAGCAAGAAGTAAGAGAGACCAGAAATAAGCACAAGTTGAGAGAAGAATGAGTAGACTTTATTAGTGCTTAGAAAGCCCTTTCTCATTTAACTATTGTAAAAGTCAGGGAGTTTTGGCTGTTCCTTAAAAAGTTAAACATATAATTACCATGTGATCCAGCAATTTTACTCCTAGGTATAAATACAAAAGTTAAAAGCAGAGCGTTAGATATGTGTGCACCTATGTTCATCGCAGTGTTTTTCACAAGAGACAGAAGGTCGAAACAACCCAAGTTCCCATCAACAGGTGAATGGGTAAACAAAATGCACTATATACACACAGAGAAATATGATTCAGCTATAAAAAGGCAGGAAATTATGACAACATCCTACAATGTGGATGAATCTTGAAAATATTATTTAATGAAAGAAGACAGGCATAAAGAGACAACAATTGCATGATTTCACTTACATGAAGTACCTAGAGTGGGCAAATTCGTAGAGAAAGAAAGTAGAATAGAAGTTATAAAGTGCTGAGGGGAGGGCAGAATCAAGAATTAATGTATAGATACACAGTTTCAGTTTGGGAAGATGAATAAGTTCTAGAAGTAGATAGAAGTGATGGTTACACAACATTGTGAATATGTCTAATGCCATTGAATTGCACACTTACAAATGTTAATATGGTAAATTTTATGTTAATTATATTTTAGCACAATATATTTCTAAAAATCCTATGAGGTTTGCTTGTTCTCTGATTTATAGAGTATCTGAGACTTGCCCAGGGGAACCTAGGTCATCTCTATTTCTACTATACTATAAGCTGCTATTTTAAACCTCAGATTTACTTCAGGGAGTTATTTTCTCTACAGGGTTTATTTTTATTTTTATTTGGTCTAAGTCTAACCCTGCTTAGTGAAAACACACTGAGTACTCAGGTTTCTATTTAATAGCACAAATGGCGATCCCAGAAGGCAAAAACAAAATTAAAATTGAAGTATTATTTTTAAATAAACAGCTTGCTGAAGGATGCCATTGCAAACAATCCACAAAACTTTATTTGAGTGACTATGATTTACTACTTCTCAGATATGTTTTTTGTCTTCAGTGAACTTAAAGTCTGTTTGAAAATACAGATATGTAACAAATGATTATCTTTTAAATAAATGTTAAAAGTTATATAAGTAAAATCTTACATGAGTGCAAAACAAGGAGTATCAAGCACATTAGGGGGGATTAATAGGAGATTAGGAGAGAAGGCACACAGACTCAGACTTGAGAAATGTATGGCATTTTAATAGGGAAAGCAACATAGGAAAGGCATTCCAGTTAAATAAATATCTCAGGCAAAGGCCAGAGTCAGAAAAACATGTGGCCTGTTTGTAAATTGTATGTATATGGTCCTATTTCCCATTTTTCTCTGTCTATCCAGGTCAGACCTAAAACATTAAATCACAATGACTATTCCCTCCATATTTAAATATTTACTTCTTGTCCTTATCTAAATATTTCGCCCTGTTTCTAATTTGCAGCAATGTTGCCTATGTGCCTTTTATTTTAAATTCCCTGTAATTATTTTTGGAAGCAGAAAGGATATTGATTATACATTTAAATACAATTCCAGTTTGTCTTAAATCAGTCACTTAAATCAGTCCAGTGTCTTAGATTAGTCATTCAGCCTAAGCAGGCCTTATATATAGTGAAACCAGTATCTGTTAGATTGCTTATGCATTTCTGTTAGAATGAGACCTACAGATCTGTAGTGATATAGATACTCAGGATGGGAAAATTTAGCATTTAGTTACTTTAATAACAAAGAATATCTTTCACTTGGTTTTAGGGGATGTAACTGATGATTGCACTTTGAATTAACCTTTTGGAAAACTTGCTTTTAACTCAATTTAGACAATATTCACTAGAGTAAGAATAGGGATAAGTTTGCCTGGAGTAAGGAGCTGGTATTGGGTTAAGCTGAAGTCAATTTTTGATGTGGATGTTGATATATAATTGACCTGGGTAATACCTAAAGTCAAACAAAATTTAATTTGTGATAAATAATGGCTGTGGGTGGTAGTGCAAGTCAGGAGGACAAGGTGGGGTCCAAAGGGTGGAAAAGGATCATTCACTAAATTTGTTAGAAAGTCTAGGACCATGGACAGCTCCCTGGCAGCTGAGATGCTCTGATAAAGTGAGCGAAATGGGAAAAAATATATATATATCCTGAAATATACCCCTTTATTTGATTTTTATGGCCTCTCACTAGAATTTTCTGATTCTAAAACTGATTTTTTAATTTTTTTTTTAATGTTTGCCATGCCTCCTACAAGATCAGGAAACCTATTCATTTTCCCAAGAACGTCATTCTTTTCTAAGACTGCGTTACTTTCTAGCCCGACTCTCAACATGAGAACACATTTCCACAGAAAGCTATGGCAAAGGAGCAGGTAGAATTTCATTCTCTATGTTAAACCTATAAACTTCTGGTTGCCCACCACCTCCACCCCATTTTTATGCTGAAGCAAGATCTAAGCCTGGAATTGTAGCCAAGATTTCCTCTATGAAATTGCAATTTCAGTTTTAATGAAGAGGTTATTTTATTTTATTTTATCTTACCTTTTCCTATCTGCAGCATTTTTTTCTTTTTACAAAATGATCATCCCAAATAACTTATTTTTAATTAGTGGATTTCTTCTTTGTCATTTAGTTGTTCCCTAGCCAATCCTCACTATGCTGGAGTGCCTAAAATTGTGCACCTAAAAAACAATTAGTGTATTTCTTCTCTCTGACCCATTTTTAATCTATTCGCTTCAGCTTTACTGTCCAGAGCGGTTTTCTCTAAGTTATCCCATTATCATTTATCTTTCCTTACCAAATAAAGAGAACACAGTAAGATTTTAAATCACAAATATCCTTTTCTTTCAATAAGAACACAAGTAATTTACCTCTTGCAGTGAAAGGTAACAAAATGAAACATCTTATTTTTTCTCCAGCCTCCTTTCTCTACCCCAAAGTCAGCAGCTGCTTTAAGTCTGTATATTTTAGTTATAATGTAGAGAAGTGATCTACCAAAAGAACTTTTGTGCATCAACCTTTGGGCAGTTGAGAAATTATTGGTTGGTTATGCTCATTGTGACTACAATTGCAAGCCACTTTTGCTTATTCCTATATATTTTTTTTAAATTATCTTTAAACTCCTCTGTATTTATGAAAGGAAAATTTGGCTTCTTCTGTAGGATTAAAGGCTTGCCATGGTTTTTTTTTTTCTCTTATCACATTGAAGATAAACCTGTTTGACGCTAATCTGATAAAAGAGTTTTCAGAGCTGATGACTTCTTGTTTTTCCATGAAACACTTTTTTCAGATTCATACTGCTATTTCAAATGAAAAAATTATTCACACCTTCATGTTTCTGAGGTTTTTCTAACTGAATGTTTATTACATTATACAACTCTTGGTTTTATTTATATAAGGCCAATAGCTTAATTGTTGCTGTCCTGTATGGGCCTGGAAGTTGACATTGACTATGTTATGATAAGTTATGAAATTTAAAAAACTTTAAAAAGGATCTTATATGCCGTGATATATTGTTAAATTTAACTTGTTCAGTAATCAAAAAATCATGTTTTAGTGAGCAAAATAATCATCATTTAGCAAGTTTCAGACACATGGATTTTGGAAGTTTTATAGTTAGAGAGAACAACTAATATATATACTTCAGTACCTACCCTATCCCATTGCTGTAAAGGTTGACTTATATACAATGGTTATTTGCATCATTGAATTGCCATTTATGTAAAATGCTGAAATTACACTTTGGGGTTCCACTCATAGAGGTTCAGTAGTATGTGTAAAGTCATGCGGTTAGTAAATAAAGTTGCTAAAAAGAAAACCTAGGTCAGTCTATTATCAAAATCTTATGATTTTTCTGCTTCACTGTGTTGCCTTTTGCCCATGGAATAAGATGCGACCTGAAATTACAATTTCTGTATTCCAACATGACTGAATGAAGCATATTTCTGAAATTATGTTCCCAGATTTATTTCCCGTAATTTAAGAAATTTCATGTTCAGTCAAATGCATTTTACAATATTTGAAACTATTTTAAGAAGTCAGCATTTGTTTGATGACTATTAAAATCACAGTTACAATGTTTGAAGAAAAGTATACTATAAGTTTTTATTAAGTCATATAATTGTTTAATTACAGTTACATTGACAATGAAATGGAACACTGTTGATAGTGAATGGCCTGCTTGGCAGTCTCTTATATTTGATAAATAAATATTATTAACTGTAAGATAGTTCTAGGAACTGTTCGTTAGTTCCTGTGCTGACAGTTACTACATTTGCTTTAACATTATGGATCATTAGAAAATATAGAAATTTTCCTTCTACCATCTTAAATTTTAGTACTTATTTTCTCACTCTTTTTTCAGTTAAATTTTTGATGAGGAAAGCCTTTTCTTCACTCACTAGAATTTATAAAATCAGGTGAAGCAAATATTTGAAAATTTGTATTTAATTTGAAAATATGTATAGTCTGTTCAAGACCTTACTTTTCTCTATATTTATATAATCAGTAACACATAAAATTTCTCTTCTTACATCTCTCTTAATTTTAATTCTTTCATGAATTAAGTGAATAAAAGTACTCTATCATTTACTTTTACTTAAAAGCAACTTTGCATGGATCACTTTGTATTAAAAGCAAATTTGTGTGGGTCAAATACTTGTTACCTAGCCTGGTTTCCATAAATTCTATTGAACTATGATGAATCTTTTCTTGCTAAAAAGTAGATTTGAAAAAAAATAATAAAGGACTATGTAATAAATAGCAAGATAGAGGAGAGGAAATTTCTGGCCTCTCTTTTCTGCTAGATTGTTAGCATCTTCAAGCCTGGGTGTACATTGTTGGGCTAATCAATAGTGACTAGGGTGATACACTAGTCAAGGGCTCTCCAATTGCTTTAAATTGTTAAGAATTATACATGTATCATTAACTTACATAAGTCTTAGTGCTTTCACATAAATAACAATCAAGGTAATTAATACGTCTAAAACAGTAAAGGTAGTTTAAATGATAAAGTTAACTTATCTTTTTACAGATGATCATCAAACTCTATGAGAAGCTATTGATAAATAGTAGTATGCTCTCCAAGGCCAATCTGTAATTTATTCTTAATGTGTCATTCATATATATATATGGAGATATATGTGTGTGTGTGTATGTATATCTGTGTGTGTGTGTGTGTGTGTGTGTGTGTGTGTGTGTGTGTAGGGAGACAGGCTCTTACTCTGTTGCCCATGCAGTGGCATGATATTAGCTCACTGCACCTCTGTCTCCTGGGCGCAAGCAATCCTCCCACCTCAGCCTCCTGAGCAGCTGGGACTACGGGCATGCACTACTATGCCTGGCTAATTTTTTGTATTTATATTTTTTGGTAGACACAGGGTTTCTCCTTGTTGCCCAGGCTGGTCTTAAACTCCTGGGTTCAAGTGATCCACTCACTTTGGCCTCCCAAATTGTTGGGATTACAGGAGTGAACCACTGTGCCCAGCCAACGTGTTATATTTTGAAAGAACATTTTTCTTTATAGTTTAAGAAGCAGAGCTTAGGAGTACTGAGAATTATGCCAATTTTAAGTGCATATTAGTTAAATAAAATTAATTGTTTCATGCCCACCTTCTATAGATTTCTAGTAAACTTAACTACTTATGGAAAAATTCACTGTATTTAAGTATGTATGTAAGTAACTGAATAAGCTTTTATTCTGTTAAAACTCTATACAACTCTCATTGAAATATCCATAAATGTTTCAGCATGCCTGATATAATTATACATCATTTATGAAGGAGAAACAGCAACACATCTGATTTTTCCAATTCTCTCTCCCCCTCTCTTGCTCTTTTATTAATATTTCTGAAATAAAAAACATGCAACATTCCCTGTTAAGAACTCTGTAAATTGTGGCTGGATTCTTTTTACTTACGGCACAATGTTTCTCTTTATGTGCATAGACAGGGCCCTGAAATGCAACGTGAAGTGGTGAATAGAGCCCATGAGGCTTGCCTTCATAGATTTGCTTGATGAGATGTTTATCTGGGTGAGAAATTGGTTGTTGAAAATAAGGATTTCCTTATAGTTCATTGCCTATTTCAAAATATATTTTCCCGTATAGCTTATTGTATGTTATTCAAAAGTTTCATCTCTTTCCACAAAAACATATTTTAAAATTGTGCTCCAGAAGGAACACAAATTGAAAAGCAGCAGTCAAAGTTGATACCTGGACTCTACACCAACTGTTGAAAGCTGTTGAAAGTGGTAATGCTCACAAAATGCCTTACCCTTGCAAGATTGCCTAATCCAAGACTGACCAATGTGATTAAACCGAGTTACACATCACTGGTGGCCTTGTGCCAGATGCAGGCTTCGGAAGAATAAATTGAGTTGTGTTACTGTCACCGCACAACTTTATTGAAAACAAGGCAGTATCAGCACCTTTAGGTCCTACTCTCAGGCAAACACTGAAGATGACATTGCTGAAGCTTGAGTTGCCTTTCTTTTTTTGACTTAACTAACACTTGATATTCCCCAGGATCAGCCTCAACAACATTCACCTATGTTGTCATTCTCACTGGGCCTTGACCAAAATCTCAGTTGTTCTCAATTAGCCTGTTTTGAAATAATAAAAAAAAAATCACACCTCTGTTCTGGAAAATGATGAAAAAGTCATCCTTGTACTTCTAATCATAAACTTCCTCTTTAGAATGGAATCTCATAACATTAAATAAATTTTCTAACTGCTCAGAAACGATGCATATGTGAGTTAAATCTGTGCTAAAAGAATAATCAAGCTTGTTCAATTAGAAAATAGTCATAGAAATGAGTCCATAAATAAATAAAATTTTATGAAATATTTAGCAATGAAAGTTTATGGAATAAACTTTACTTAGAAGTTTACTGAGCCTCCACTTTTTATTATAAAAATACTTCCTGAAATCACCCTAAAATATGTTTGCTAGCAGAATGAGAAATTGATTTACTTACTTTTTAAAATTGTGTTTCTCAGATTGACAGCAGTAGGTATAATGCAAATAACAATATTCCAACATGTTATTTTTTAACATTCAATAAAAAGCACTTCTATTCATTTTTAAACCAACAAAATAGAGAATTGAAATGAACTTGAAAAACTACACATGAATATTAGAAATATTAAATATTATAATTTAAATATTTATTTCAACGTGTACTTTCAAGCATCATATAATCCTTTGATGTATAAGGGAACAGTGATTTGAAAATAACTTTTATAAATACACTTTTGTTTTAGATACTAAGAAGTATCTTTTGAGTAAATTTTCTCTCAAAATACATATTGGCACAATATTTCTTAGATTTTTTAAAAAATATCTTTAAACATTTCCACTCCAAAAATGCAAAATAGTGTAAGATGAAAAATGGATATTTAAAATATGCTTTCATTCATTTTCCTTTGGTAATCAACTCAAGCTTTTTCAAGCTATGTCAAAAATGATGAGCTCAAAGGCATTTTGGAGGTGACTGTGACATTGCTGATATTAATTGGTACTTTATTTTCACTTCTATTATGCTCTGCAGGTTTTGAACCTATTTTCCACCCATTTTTGTTCTTATAGTTAGAAGGTAGGCAGGAATAAACAAAGATGATAATGAATTCTTATCTAATTATGAGTATCATCCAGATTTTATAAGAAGAAAATAATTCCAGAAAATGTCTTCAAAATCAATTTAATGCAGTGTTTGCAAACATAAAAATGCTAACAGCATGTAGAAAGACTTTTGACATTTTTCCTTTTTGAAATGTATTCCCAAATACATGGAAATATGTGTTTTTAGGTTTGAGATAAGTCTCTGCGAACATGCTGTAATGAGATTATAATCCAAGAAAATGTTATATTTCTATGCTTATGATTTCTAATACGGCTTTTCAACTGGCAAATTGTGGTAAATGTGCTTGATAAGACAGAAAGCATCATTTCCAACTGATGTAAATTTTCTCCTCTCAACTTCACAAACTTTGAATATTTAGAGTTTTGGTATTGCTTTTAACGAAAGTTAAAACTAAAATGTCATGAAAGCCATGGACAGGATGAAATAATCCACATACTAAATAAAGATAAGCAATGAAATTTAGCAATCCTTTTCTCAATCTTAGTCTAACTACTATTTGGACTATTTTAATACACCTTTTCTTGTTTTATATAACTTCATCATTAGCTATGAAGAATAAACAATGAACTCATTTATACTTTCTTCCCTCCCCCTTTTTTTCCTTTTTTTTTTAAAAAACAAAAACAAAAAACAAACAACAGCAACAAAACTTTTATACTGGTTACCTCCATAAATTTTTTTTTTTTTTTTTTAGGCAGAGTCTCCCTCTTTTGCTCTTTTGCCCAGACTGGAGTGCAGTGGCAGGATCTCAGCTTGCTGCAACCTCCGCCCCACCGGGTTCAAATGATTCTCCTGCCTCAGCCTCCCTAGAAGCTGGAATTACAGGCACCCACCACTACGCCCAGCTACTTTTTGTATTTTTAGGAGAGGCGGGGTTTTCACCATGTTGGCCAGGCTGGTCTCTAACTCCTGACCTCAGGTGATCTGCCCACCTCGGCCTCCCAAAGTGCTAGGATTACAGGTGTGAGCCACTGCACCTGGCCACCTCCGTAACTTTAAATGATATTTTAAAGCTGTATTTCTTGAGTCATCAACTTCTGAACAGTGTCTCTTGCCTTCCTGCTGTATAGCCCAAGGAATCCCTTTCTCCATACATCTTCTTCCTCTCCCAGTCCCCAATTTGTATAGGATTGCTTGATGAAATCATCCCCGCATCATGTTCAGGAGATCAAGCTCCTTAGCATGACCTGCAAGGCCCTACTGATAATACCTGGCCCCAGCCTTTCCTTTGGATATCAGCTCTCACTTCCCTTCACCCATTGCCTTTTCTCTGGACTCAGGCTTCTTGCTGGGACTCAAACATGAGAGACCATTACCTGATGCACTGGTCATTGGATGCATTGCTAGAGTGCCTTTTTATGGCTGTTTCTCTGGTATTTAGGATTCTGATGAAAGTTTCCTCTCTCAGAGCACTTGCTTTACATCCCTTCATAAAATAGCCATGCACCCTCACTCCTCTTTGTTACTACTCTGCTTTATTTTTTGCCATAACATTTACTACTATCCAACTTAATTCTATATCTGTTTTACTAATTTGATTACTTTTCTCCCACTAATGTGAACTTTCACATGGCCAGCCATTCTGTCGGTTTTTGCTGTTGAATCCACAGTTATTAGAGCAATACCTGCCACAAATATATGTTAGACAACGAATTAGCATAGTTTACAAAACTTAAATGCTGTTCTGTACTGTCAATTAACCGTCCATTACTTTGTCCATACGTTAGTTCCAAAATTTTAGAACTAACAAATAATGTTATGACTATATAAATATCATAAATTGCAGAGTCCTTGAGTGTGATTAGATCATACGTTGATTAGATCATACATAACACTCCAGAACTAAGTCTGTGCCATTCAAAAGAGAATGTTCTAAGCATCAAGATCAACTATCCCTTTTCTTATAATCCATCAACTGTTCAAAACAATAACATGCTTTCATCTTTATATTTATTTTATGATTATCATGTGCTGCTTTTATTTCCCATGGAACTTCCAACTGCATTTCATTTATCTTGACAAATGAAGTGAGTGTGGCCTTCAACCATATCTCTAAAATAATCTGATTCCTAATTGTATTACTTGTCAAATATCCTAAAGTGGAGAAATTCTTTAAGGAGTACGCCAAAGTTGTCATCATTGAGTCCTTTCTATTCATCCAAACTTAACTTCTCTTCTTCTTGGCTCTCACAGTTTCTACTTCGTTGGATTCTTTCTTCTTTTATTCAGCTTGAGTGCTTGTGAGGTATGCTTTGGATGACACAACTAATTAATAATGTCTTTATTTTGCCCTGGTATATGGTGAATGTTTTGCTTAGGAATGGCTTATTGTTTGTAGTCCTTTTCCTCTAGACAGACTCATTGTCATTAAGCATTCTTCGTTGCAATGAAAAGTCTGAAACAAATCAGACTCTTGTCCCTGTGGAGAACTGTTTTTAATTCTACGCTCTATGCCTTTTTGTTTTTATCTTGGAAATGTTATCAGCATGTGTTTAAGTGTATTTTTATTTTTGTTTGTTTTATCTATTCTGCTACTGTGTGGGTCTTTTTTTTTTTTTTTTTTTTTTTTTACTGTCAGGTTAGGGCGTTTGTTATTTTAGAAAACATTTTCCTTTTATTAGTTAGATTATTTCCTCTTCTACTTGCCCTTTGTCATTTGCTGGATTGAGTAACCTTGTACATTTCTGAATTGATCATCTATTCTTCTAAATACTCCTTTCACTTTAAAAAATATGTCTGCCCCATCTTCTGGGAGAAATCCTTTTATTTATTTACTTACTCACTTACCGATGGTTCTTGAAAATTTAAAAACCAATGTATTTGGCTTTCACAATCCTTCTTTTCCCCTCCCTCTTTTCCCTCTCTCCTCCCCTCTTTCCTCCTCCTTCTTCCTTTTTTCTCTCAATGCAATTTTGGAGTTCGTGATTATATATCTTGACTTGTAATTGGAGCAGAACTACTCACATATCGGAAAATTTGAGGTGGGTGGCTTCTGTTATATTATGCATTGACTTAGGGAGAATAATTCTGTGCTTCAAGAACTAGGAGAACTGAAAAGCTAAATGTTTCAGCACAACTTTTAATGGGAACGAAGTAGAATATCCAGCAGTCCATGAGAATTGACTGTTCAGCCAGGAGCTTGAAAAAGTAAAGAGTTAATTAGAACCTGGGAAAGACTGGCACAAGGGAGGGAGCCCAGAAGGATACCACATACTTTCCTATGCATGAGAAACTACTGACCCAGAGATTTCAACTCTCATTTTGTGCAGCCAAGATTGCGAAGTTTAAGTTGACACATTTATCCATGGGTGATAAATTTAAATTAAAGAGAGAAGGAAGCAAAAATATACAAAGGGGGAATTAAAAGATAAAAAGTAGCTTGTGAGGAAAGATCAAGCTATAGGCTCTGTGTAACAGGATGGCTTTCAATTTAGGGAAGGGTAAAGGGAAGTGGAGTGGAGGAGTGTGTGCACATGCATGGCTGTGAAAGAACAGGCACGCTTCTTCATCCATGTGACACCACTGTACAGAGAGGTGGTCAGTCATACACAGAATTAAAGTGTCATCTTGATAGACCCATAGTCCTAAATCATGCCTGATTTCCTTTTGCCCATATAAATATTATGAGATTATATAGGGAATATACGTTGTTGACTTTTTATAAATAATATTTTTCTTACTTCAGGTGTTTTTCCTCAAAAGTCTTTTTACTGAATATAATTTACATAGATCATATGCTTTCTATAGGAATTGTGGTAAATAAAATTATTTAAGCAACTATGGAGAAGTCCTGATTCTATTACTATGGATATATACACTATAGATTTCAATTTAAAAATGATTTTTTCATTATTGCTAACAAGTGGAATACATGCGTTTCATACCTATCACACTCTTTTTTTCTTCTTAGAGAAATCTTTCCTAATGACATTATTTTTTTTCTTACTTACCTTTCCTTGGCATAACATAAGCTGAACAAACCTATGATCAGTATCAGGTAAACTCATCAAATGTGCTCTTGAGGGGGAAGAATTTTAAAAGAAGGCAGTAGCACAAACCTGATTTAACCAGTTTACAACATCAATCCTCTTAAAAATCAAAGGAAAGACAAAAGGAAATATTTTCAGGTGTATAAAGATTACAATGCTCTTAATACTATATTAAGTCCAAGAAAAAAATGTGGCGCACAGTTATGAAAACAAAGCTGTCCAGCAAGACATGCCTTTTCTCTGTAAAATGAAACCACTTCAGTTTCTGTGTTTTATACTGAGGATTTATCCTAGCACACTGGTCAGTACATTATTTTATGATGGCTCACTATGACTGCATCACTTACATCCACAGAAAATGCCAATCTTTCTTAGAGTAAATCATTTCCAGTCAAGGCAGAAGGACTTCAAAGCAGAGTCAGTGAAAACAGATATAAGGATGTTCTACAGCAATAGCCCTGGCACCAGTGTAAACCTACCCTGCTCCTCAATCTGGTGTGTTTCTCTCCTTTACAGAAGCACTAACCCTGACCAATCCAGCAAGACTTACAGAAATCTCCTGGGCTGCCTAAAAGGGGGCCCAAGTGATTCTTGCTGCTCCTGTCTGACCTTTTTAAATGAGGAAAATATTGATTAGGAGTTTTTCTTTTTGAAGTATAGAATTAATACATTTTTGGTAGTGATACATTTTATAGTAAGACTGAGTAAGGTTTGATCTTACATTGTCCTTGTAGTCTGCATACTTTTACTTTTGTGTTATCAGTTCTTCATTAGGAAAACCCAGAGTTCAATGAATAATTCAAAAGCTTGATATGAAGTATTTGATGCTTAAACCCAAGTTTTCTCAAAGCAAGGATATCATCAAGAGACCTCTGGTACTTGTGACTACTCTGTGACTAACCAGGTCATTTACTTGGAAGAGAGGAGGGAAGGTCAAGATTATGTGGGACAAAATATTCATTATCACATCCACTTAGACTTGAGCAATTACAACACAGGAATATTTGTATTTGTTTTTTTATTTAGGCTTTCAGTTAAAAGTTTTTTGCAGAGATCAAATGTAAAACAATTTGTACTTACACTGATTAGAGAAACAAGTGCAAATGTTAGAAATTACATATCAAAAAGGAAATATTTTAAGAAGCTCACAAAGAATAAGCAATGATTAAGGACCTTGAGAATTTGACTTACAAGGAGAGGTTATAAAATATGCACATCCCAGGGACATTTCTGCATATAAGCACAACACTTTAATGAATAAACACAAAAACCAAAGAGAAGAGTTGATTATCACATTGTGTATTATACAGGTAAACTAGAGATATTGCAGATGCAGGTCTAGACAACCACAGTAAAGCAAACATTACAATAATGTCACACAACATCATTGGTTTCTCAGTGCATTTAAAATTTGTGTGTAATAGCATTATGGATTAAAAAAAGTACATACATTAATAAATACTTTATTGCTAAAAATGCTAATGATCATCTGAGCACTGAGAGAGTTTTACTGTTTTTTTTCTGATGGAGGGTATTGTCTCAGTGTTGAGGGCTGCTGACTGATCAGGACAGTGGCTGCTGAAAGTTGGGGGGCTGTGACAATTGCTTAATGAAAGAAAACAATGAAGTTTCCTGTGTCAATTAATTTTCACAAATCTTTCACAAAAAGATTTATCTGTAGCATGCAATGTTATTCAGTAGCATTTTACTCACAGAACTTCTTCAAACCCTGCCACCACTTTACAAAATAAGTTCATGTAATATTCCAAATCCTCCATTGTCATCTCAACAGTGTTCACAGCATCTTCTCCAGGACTACATTCCACCTCAAGAAACCACTCTTTGTCATCTTCAAGAAGAAACGCCTCATCCTTTCAAGTGTTTTCATGAGATTGCAGCAATTCAGTTACATACTCAGCCTCCACTTCTAACTCTAGTTCTCTTGCTAGTTCTTCCACTTTTGCAGTTACTTCCTTTGCTGAAGTCTTGAAGAAAGACTTCAAATCCATCAGGGTTGGAATCAACTTTCTCCAACCTGCTGTTAATGTTGATATTTGACCTCTTCCATGAATTATAAATGTTTGTCATGGCATCCAGAAGAGTGAACTCTTTCCAGAAGGTTTTCAATTTACTTTGCCCAGATCCATCAGAGGAATCACTATCAATGGCAGTTATAGCCTTATCAAATGTATTTCTTAAATACAATAGACTTGAAAGTGAAAATTACTCCTTGATCCATGAGCTATAGATTTGATGTTCTGTTAGCAAGCATGAAAACAACATTAATCTTTTTACACATCTCCACCAGAGCTCCTGGGTAACTAGGTACGTTGTCAATAAGCTGTAATATTTTGATAGGAATCTTTTTTTTTCTAAATAGTAGGTCTCAACAGTGGGCTTAAAATATTCAGTTAACCGTGCTCTAAACAGAAGTGCTGACATCTGAGCTTTGTTTTTTTGTTTCTAGAACACAGACAGTGTAAAGTTAGCATCATTCTTAAGGGCCCTAGGATTTTCAGAATGGTAAGTGAGCATTGGCTTCAACTTTAAGTCACCAGTTTCATTAGCCCCTAATGAGGGAGTCATCCTGTCTATTGAATCTTTGAAGCCAGGCATTGATTTTTCCTCTCCAGCTGTGAATGTCCTCGATGGCATCTCTTTCTACAAGAAGGCTGTTTCATCTACATTGAAAATCTGTTATTTAGTGTCCCCATCTTCATCAATTATCATAGCTAGGTCTCCTAGATAACTTGCGGCAGCTCCTCCATGACCACTTGCTGCCCCAGCTTGAAGTTTTCTGATAGTGGAGACAGCTTCTTTCCCTCAACCTATGAACCTCTGCTAGCCTTCAGAGTTTTCTTGTGTAACCTCCTCACCTCTCTCAGCCTTCATAGAATTGAAGAGAGTTAAGGCCTTTCTGTTGATTAGGCTTTGGCTGAAGGAAATGCTGTGGCTGGTTTGATCTTCTATCCAGACCCCTAAAACTTTCTTCAGAACAGCAATAAGGCTGTTTCACTTTCTTGTCATTCGTGTCTTTATTGGAGTAGCACTTTTCATTTTTTTCAAGAACTTTTCCTTCACATTCAGTTGACTAGCTGTCACAAGAGACCTAGTTTGGCTTATCTCAGCTTTTGAAATGCTTACATCACTAAACTTAATTATTTCTAGTTTTTTATTTAAAATAAGAAACTTCTACTTGAATACTTAGAGGCCATTGTAGGGTTATTAATTGGCCTAATTTTAATAATGTCACTTTATCGGGGACTAGGGAGACCTGAGAAGAGGGACAGGGACAAGGGAATGGTCAGTGAGTAGAGCAGTCAAAACACACACATTTATTGATGAAGTTCATCATTTTATATGTACGAGGCTAGTAGCACCCCAGAGCAATTACAATTGTTAATATCAGAGGTTACTGATCACAGATCTTCATACCAGATATAATAATTATAAAAGTTTGGAATATTGTAAGAATTAACAAAATTTGACACAGAGATGAGACATGAATCCATGCTGTTGTAAAAATGGCACTGACAAAAGGCTTTCTTGACAAAAGCTTGCCACAAACCTTAACTATGTAAAAAAATTCAATATCTGCATAGTGCAATAAAGCAAAGCACAATAAAACAAGGTATTCTTGAAAATTCTAATGGTCAAAATACATTCTGGAAACATGAGTTAATTAAATCAAAAGATTTTAGTCCACCCCCCGCCCCCGTTAACAAATGAGAAAGTAACAAAGATATCTAAACTTATGACAAGTTAAAAATGGTAAATGCTATAGCACTTTTAGAACTATCTACTTAATATTTGAAGTTTGGGGGAGGAGTGGTACTTTGAAGACTTATCCCTAGGTCTGTGATTTTATAGAACAGATGAAAAGAAACTCTCTATTTTTAGCAGCCAACTGTTTAATATCAAACAGATGTTGTTATAACCGTGATTACAGGATTTCATTTAATTCAGAGCAAAAGTATTTGGGACTTACCTTGGCATGAGAGCTGGCTTTGTAATGATGATAGAGCACAATTTAAACATTACAATTAAACTATCCATGAATTGTCAACCAAACCAAATGCATAAGTAGCCAATAATTTAGGGAATTTTTGTTTTTGACATAGTTTTTAAAAAGGCATTATCCCTTGCCTCTTTGAGCTCGAGCCCAATATTGCCCATATTTATTGTTTTCATATTACAAATTATCCCTCGTGCCCTTCTGATTAACTTAAAATCAGTTCATTTTCTTTTCCCCTTTCATGGGCACATATATGGAAGGGAAGTAGCTAGATTATTTTCTGATGTGGGCATATATTTGTACTTACATATTAACCAGCTATGGAAAATAAGCCCCCAAATAAGGAAGAATTTATTCTGCAAATAAGCCCCAAAATAAGGAAGAATTAGTTCTGTACGATTTCTTTTTGAGCCACAATGCAAAATAAAAGCTAGCAAAGAAGCATCACGTTGTCATGAACTAAAATTGAGAGTTAAATGATTAAAGCAGGAATATCTTTAATTTTCTCTCAATAACCTTCATTTTTCACCTTTTTAAAAATATTACATATACTTATATTTTAATATTATTAATTTTCTTAACTGCATTATTTAAAAAAGAATTAACCCATAGTATAGCATAAAACCATGTGTTCTCAGAATCCTATTGTTTTTACTCATGGAAGTCAATGCTGGATGAAAGAAATTTATCCATCTGAAGAAAATACTCAATTTTACCTTGAAAAGTTGTTACAGAACCAAAGTGAGTCTGTTGGCACATGCACAATGTAAAAGCAAACATGGAAGCACTGGGTTTTTGCAATGAGCCGACTTGCAGAGAAACAGCAGGAAATGCTCAAATCTGTCTCTACCAGCTGTAGGCTGAGTCTATTCTTATAAGCATATGGCAATGAGGCATGATCTGGTTGGATCTTGTAATGACGTGATGCTGGATGGCATGATCTGACTGGATCCTCGCCATGTGGGTGACACCAGGGCAGTCTGCTTGGATCTTGTGTCCTACCATGTCATGTCCATATTCTTAATTCAGTCCCTGTTCCTTGGCCTGAGCACTTAGATTACACCTGTATTTGCATACGTGGTTCCTCTAGGCATGTTCAGGTTATGTGACCTTCAACTTGGGGATTCATGGCAACAGAAAAACAACTCACAACTTTGGTACATAAAATATGAATCAGATTGGTCTGGAGCAGTTACAAAGTTACTAGTTTTCCTTTTCTATATCTGCTTTTGAAGTGTATTCTATATCATGTTGTCCATACATATGTCATATACAAATACAAATGTAGTTAATCTATAGGTTTGGTCTCGATAAGTGCTGCCAAAGTGTAGTTTGCAAACCAATGCTCTTCTGCAAACTCTTCCTGGTCCATAAGAAAATAAGAATAGAAATTGAGAGAAAATGTTTAGAAACTTTTATAGCAGCATGACAGAGTAATTTTGTTGTTGAACTTACAATTTAAAATGCCCTAGTATTTTGTCTTTTTTGTTATTGTAACTTAAATGTGTTTTATAAGTGTAATATAGGTTTGTGAAAATTTGGTGAGAAAATTCGTCTTCAGCACAGAAAACTTGAGAAGCACTAGTTCTCAAATCTTGGGAAGACTAGATTCAAGGCAGCTAGAGGGAGAGGAGAGGGAAGCTGTGAGCATTTTGCAAGATAGATGAGCCAGGATGGAATTAAGTAGTGTTTCAGATAGTTAATGGATATTGGGGATCAAAACATGAGAACCCCAGGACAGTCTCCTGACCCAACTCCATGTAATTGGCTCTCCCAATCCTCTGGCCAAGTCACTCTCACCGACGTCTGTGGCACACTGAGTACTTGCCAATAATTAGTTACTCTTCTGAATGCCCCAGCATCCTTTCTGTTTTTTTTTTTTTGTATACTTCCTAAGAGTAAGTTGTTTTTATTCCCAAGTGATTTTATTCTAGCTGTAATTTTCTTGTAATTATGTAATTTAATTAAATATTATATAAACCAATGAAACATGAATACATACAGAAAGATAGCTGTTGTTTCCATGATAACCAAGCAGAATGTCTTGGGGAGGCTCAGTAAGTCTAATTACCAAAAAATGGAAAAAAATGTAGAATCTGGTGCTGTTAAGTAGCTGTAAAGTTTGCCAGTAGACAGTAAAAGGTATCTACAAGGATTTTGCACATGGATTCTTTCTCAATTGTCTTTAAGTTCCTATTTCACCTTAAAAAATTAAAATTGGAAATTGTAGGAAATGTAAAGCTGGTGTGTCATACAAGAAATACTATTCAAAAATGCAATTATTAGACAACTACTTTAAATATTTTTGAAAATGCTTCTTCCTAAATAAAAAGATTAAGAAATGAATATTCACCTATTTAAAAAACTTACCATCTTCACCAATTTTTAACCAGTTATACCCAATCATATCAGATTAAAAGTCTTCTATTATAATTGTATATAGGCATTTGTACAATTTGTATACTACCTGTCGCCAACATATTTCAGGAATAGTAATTATCTGCATGTAATCACTTTAATAAAACGTTTGTTTTTGAAATTCGTTGCAACACAGAATTAGATAGAAATCTTGACAGATTCTCCTTTGCTTCAGTTAATCACTGCTATCAAAAGCCAATTTATTGAGAGAAAACGTAGCTGTAATTAAACTTCTGGAATGTTCTAGTCATCTGCAAGTGTCATGTAGGGAATAACTAGGCTTCTGGAGGAATAATTTGACTTGATTACTAAATTTAAAGAACCCAGGAGTTGGGGTCCAGTCATTCATTCATCCATTCAATAGTTTAATAATGGAGAATCTAATATTTGCCAGTCACTATAATTAGGTTTTAGATATTTAAAGAAAAAAAACCATGCAGCTCTTGCTCTTGAGGAGCTTACAGTCTAGTGGCAGAGACAAATGTGGTAACAGACTAGTGAGAATACAATTTGGTAAGATATGAACAATGGTCCTTCAGAACATGCCTTGAGAGTAGACAAGATGAGAGGGAATTGCACTCATTGTATGTGGGCCTTCTCTAGTGAACTGGGCGACGTAGGTGTTGAGTGGTGAGGATGTGACCAGGAGCTATAGAAACAATGTTTCTTCTGCTTTTGTTCTCTATTTCCTCCTAACATTATCTGCTTGGGGATAGGCTTGAAAGTAATTTTCTTCTTTATACTTACCTATAATTTCAAATTTAAAAAAATCTATCATTTCCATAGTTAGAGTTAGCTAATAATGTTTGTGAGTGCTAAATAATTAGAACACATGGACACACAGAGGGGAACAACCCACACTGGGGCTCTTTGGAGGGTGGAGGGTGAGAGGAGGGAGAAGATCAGGAAAAATAACTAATGGGTACTAGGCTTAATACCTGGGTGATGAAATAATCTGTACAACAAACCCCCATGCCACAGACTACATTTGTACTTCTGAAGTTAAAATAAAAATTTTAAACATGTTTTTTTTAATACAGCTTTGAGTGTTATGGACTTAGTAGCATATTCCATTTGGTGAAGATAGTGTTTCAAGAAAAATTGGATGGTAGGCACATGAATACTTCTAGTAATGATAAATCTAAAACAATGTTTCTACCTCTTAAGAAATGAAGTAGGCTCTCCTGTCCCCATCAAGGCAATTTCTGGACTGTACATCCAGGTGTTCCTAGACCAGGATAAGATTGCTATGCATAACAAGGGTTTGCCTGAAGCTGAAATACCTAACACTAATGAAAGAAAGATAGCTAGCATCTTATAGTGGAGACCTTTCTTTTATTTCTTATTTCTTGTGATATTTTTAGATTCGTCATTCTGCGATATGTAAGAGTAACACATTTAAGGATTATATTTTACTAAATGATATTTTTTTCTTCTAGATGATCTGGTATAAAGATGTCCATATCACAGTTGAGTTATTCCACATGTTCTGGCAATCACACTTTTGCCACCTTCGGCATAATTCTGATAAAACAATTAGAAGTTTATAGCCAGTAACGAAATCAACAAAGGGAAATAATATATGGCATACAAAGGAGGAATCAATACATGATATGGCTAATGTCCAATTCCTATTAATTTTGATGTTAGCTCACATATCTCAATATCATACAGAAATATTACTAATACATCATGTTGAAGAATAAACATCAAACAATAATGATATCACTCATTTAGCGGAAAACATTATAAATATTTTGAATATAATCTTATTTCATGACAAGTCTAATTATTTACAAGATTTCCCTTAATTAAGTAACATATATGTGGGCACTTGTATGTGTACATAAAATATTGTATTTTAAACACATAGTACTCAACAGGAAAAAGCGTGTCATATATTTTGTTTTATTTTAGCTTTCTTTTAAATTTTCAATGTACTGGCATATCTTTTTTTATCCCTGGGATGTTTTAGGGCCTGTTTCTGGCAATTATCTGCTGGCAGAGAATCACATTTGCCTTACCCCAGCAACTTAGCAAAGATAGCAAATACTACAAATGTCTTAAATGGCATTGTGCTCAGTTTATTAAATTTTCTTGTGTTTAGAGATATCTTTCAGCAATGACTTTGGACTTTTTATCAGTCTTTGAGGTTTTGCTGTTATCCTCTGATATTCACTTACTGAAGATTGTGTTGTTTTTAAGTGACATTAAATTATTCCTCTTTATGAGTGTCCAATTCACAGTGTGCATGTGAATTTCTTTTCTCAAGTTCTATTTGTCATAAGGATTTTTGGCAGACATTCATTGGCACACAGTTTTACTACTGTCTTTTTAACAATGACAGATATTTAACATGAGTTCAAAGCATATTTATGGTAAGCCAGGCCACTAAGATTGACACTTCAGTAAAAGATGCTACTGCCCTCATGGACTCCAATCCAACTAGGGAAACCAACTTAGAAACTAGTGACAGAAACTCACTCCTCCCAGGTGTGATGCTGAGCTCATTAGTAACATTTGTGCTTGCTAGGTTTCAGAACACATCTTCAAAGTTAAGCAAATTGCCCAAGCCACACAGGGAGAAAAGGGCAGAGTTTGAGTTCACAACTTTCTGACTCCAAGGTATGTTATTATATACGATGTATTGAAGGATATCATGCCCATTATTTCTCAATGTAGACCCAGTTAAGATGCACAAATTAAGTGAGAATATTATTTTGCAACCAAGAAAATAATTTCCATTGCCATTTTTAGCATGTTACTTATTATATTACTAAAGCAAGTGCTTCATAAAACAAGAAAGAAAGTAGGTTATAAGGTGGATATCAATCTAGCCTGCCTTTCTTCCAACCTAAAGTTTCATGGATAGATGAAATTTAATTAATCTTTAAAATACTGTTCACATCTTCACTTCTTAACCTTCCCAAGACTTAATAACCTTCTGTGTGTGGCTGTTCTGCCTTCCATCTAAGTTACAGACATTCCTTCCGTATAGAGATTGAGAACATCTGGTTAACACCCTCTTGGTAATAACCTTACATATTTTTTTTTGCTTTTAAAGTAGAATTAGGCAGCATTATTCTTAGAAAATGACATTTTTATATTGAAGTTCCTTTAGCTCCATGACTTTTGAATATACACTTCTGCTATGGCTATTAGACATTTCTCTCTTGAGAGGTTTCCATAATTCTGAAAACATCCTTTCTTCCTACTGAAATTCTGTTGTCAATTACTTTGTTTGTGCAGCTGAGCATAATTTGTCTTAAAATGAAAGCAGGAAATTCAGAAAGAGATTTGGATTCTTTGGTGTTTCATCATTATTGGAAAAAATACATTGTGTATCTCCAAACTGGGACTTTGGGTTTACTCAACAGTGTTAAAGATAAATAGTGTCACTAAGTGTCTTTTAGTGTCAGGCCTATTTTGGATGTGGTTCTCTTAGTTAATTGACAGAGAAAAGATTTGAGTAGTTTACACTTGGCTGGTTAAAAACCAGATTCCCGTCAGGAAGTACTAGCATATTTTTCAAATTATTAACAGAAAATATTATAAATAACAGTTCAGGACTAGGAACAAACATAATTAAAAGCACATTCAGAAAGGCTATATAAATAAGGTCCATCAATTACAAGGGTTTACATAGCTTACTTCCCCTTGCTTGTAAATTACCATTGGAATGAATGGTTTCAATTTCATTTTCAGTGGAAATACTTACATTCATGGATAGAGTATTCTAGGAAACAAAAATAGGAAGATCCTTTTGGTTGAAGGGCTTCTTTTCTTGAATGCATATTTTGAATTACATGAACATAATTGAAGTAATTAAAAATTGGTCTGGTAAAGAAGAAATTATTGTAATACTCTTGAACAAAAGTAAATGCATCTCTAATATTGTTAGTGAACTCCACAGAGGATTACTATTAAAGATAGTATGCATATCTGTCATTTAAAAGGTAGCACCTCAGGTGGACTTTAAATGACCCAAGGGTATCTTGGTACAGAGCACTAGGAGTTGGGAAATTTAGTTCATGTATTTTGCATGTTCATCCTGCCAAATCTGTCCAAGATATCACATCTTGTGTAGTGAATCAGGCAGATATGATCCTTGTGATGTACACAGAAACCAATAATGGTATGTGTAGGAGAGCAAAACACAATGGTGTTCCAAGAAACAGAGCCAGCTTCCTCATCTCGTCTATTAGGAATCGTTATCTGTCCACTGGCTCCTATAAGTTATCATTCTAAATATTTTATTATTTTGTTCTTAAAATTTGACTATTCCTCAGTTTTTTGCCTTGTGTAAATTAATTTGTCATTTAAAGTCCCCCCCCCCAAAAAAAATATGGTCTGTATGAAGAAACTTATAGAAATTATAGTGTAGAATTTTCTGAAGGGTTTGAACCATTATAATTTTAAGTAATAGCCTCTAATGTTGAAAATTAAACTAGCCTATTTTCCTAAATGTGTAAACATGCTTATTGTGCATAACTTAAGTACTCTTGAAGGTAGGCAAATTATAAATTGTAATTAAAACACCTTAAGATAAACAATATAATCATATACTCAATGTTAAAAATAAATTACTTATTAGAAGACTGAAAGCATTTCTGTTCATAACTTGTTCATTCTTTTTCCACCTTTGCCCCAAATTATTAAAATCACCTGAATATGACCATATGTTTAAATTCATTACAGATTAATGAAGTGCAGCTAAAACAAGGCTGAGAAATTATAAGTGATAAGCTAGAGATAAGGAGTAAAGCCTTCCAAGTTCAGGTGACAAAATGGTACATCTGAAAGAAGAGATGACATTAAAACTCTAACTAAATGTTTTCAAGGTCTTGTGTAGCTGTTTCTGAGTTTCTGGATGTGACTCACAGTTCCACATGGCTGAGGAGACCTCACAATCATGGTGGAAAATGAACATGGAAGCAGGCAAGAGAGAGCTTGTGCAGGGGAACTCCCGTTCATAAAACCATCAGATCTCGTGAGACCTATTCACTATCATGAGAACAGCACAGCAAGAACCCGCCCCCAAGATTGAATGACCTCCTACTGCCCTCCCTCACAGGACACGTGGGAATGATGGGAGCTACAGTTCAAGATGAGATTTGTTTGGGGGCACAGCCAAACCATAGCACATTCAGAAAGCCAGCATAATGTCATGGTATAGATAAAATCAGACATAAATATGTCATCCCATCTAATGTCTTTTTTAAATTTTTTTTTTTGGTCTAAGAATCTCCAGTTGTTCTGTATTGGACATTCTTGGACTCTAATACACCTTTTATTCTAGCCACCAGATTAAGTCAAACCAAGAGTCAGCTTCCTTAGCTGCACTATTCTGCTCTAATTTTCTGCCCCAGGGCATTTCTGACAAGACCACTGGATACTGGCAGGACATCTTCCTTTATTCACCCAAGCATAGCCTGGAAAGGGATAGGAACTAACATTTAAAATGGCAACCCATGATTATGAGAATTGGAGAAAAAATGCCCCCCTCTCTGTTTCTTGGTAAGACAATTCACAAGTACATTATACATGGTTCCTTAGAGGATCATGGTGAGATCAAGCCCGAGTTGCCCGCTGTGTAGACTAACTGGAGGACACACTTCACATTGATTTTCCCTCCCTACTGATGCATGCTACCTCCCTCACTCTTGCTACTTGGCATCACTTTTCAAAGGAAAATCCTTGCATGGCAGCCTGTGTTCCAGGCTCTGCTTTCAAGAGTCAAGGAGCACAGGAAACCATGTCTCACAATATTTAAGGAGTAGTCCGCTCTATCATGTCTTTCATATAGCAGCATTTTATCAGATGCAAATCCTTATGATTTATATAATTTGCTCACCAAGTTGACACTAAAAAATATATGGAGTAATGCGCAAAAATGCCAAGACACTATTGACAAAGAATGAGAGAGAAGATATGTCCTTTCAGATTAAAAACTATCATAATAGGGCAATCATATGAAATATAAAACATTGAACCCCAAATAGACCAAGTTAATGAAATGCAGGGAGGTAGCACGCATCAGTAGGGTGGGAAAATCAATATAAAGTATGTCCTCACCTGTCCCCTGTGTATCAATATTTTGTTTTGGCTTTGGGTACCTAGTTTATTAAGTGATAATAATCTGATCAAATGATGGTTTTGCCTATCAAGTCTGCCTGTCTTTTCCTGTGTGAACACCTTGAATAAAATAGAAGACTGTGCCCCTTATATGTATGATCAAATTTACCTATTAAAATAATTTTTGGGGAGTCCTAAATGGAGTGTAGTTTTTCTATCCAATATTTCTGATATATTTTGTCCTGTTTTTTTTCTCTTCTGTGTATGCCTACCCAATTTATATTAGGTGGTGTAAAATTAATACCAGTTTTTGCCATTTTTTTAAGTATGACAATAACCACAATTACTTTTGCACCAATCAAATATTTTCCTGGGGAACAAAATCAATTCCATTTATATTTCCTGAAATATTAGGACAAGACTGCTAATAATATATATTTCAGAAGATAATAGCGTATTTTAAAAATTGCTAATGTATTAAGCCGCATTTTAAAAAAATTTCTAAAAGTAGGCAACATACAGAATGTATTTTCAATCAAAATATAATAAAATTATATATTCACTTCAAAAGAATTGGCAATAAATATATATTTATGTATGTATTTATTAAAAACCTCTTAGCAATTTAAGAGATGTATCTGGATGGCTCTTTGATTAAACAGAAATTAAAAACATAAATTTTAACATTTTAGAAATGGAGGTGCAAAAACACATTTTATCCAAAATATAGGATTCAATATTAAGATTAAAAATTTAGCAATAAATGCAATTACTGGTAAACATAAGGACTAAAAGTAAGTGAGCAAAGTAGTAAACTCTAGGAGCTACAGAAAAAATTAACCTAAAGAAGTAGAAAGGAGATAACATAAAAGCAGAACTCAATAAATAGAAAACAACAAAGTAAAGTTGTTAATAAAGCAAGATCTGGTTCTTTTAAAAAGCCAATAAAATAGACAAATTACTGCCAAGACTAATTAAGAATAAAGATGAGAAAAATAAATAACAATGTCAGAAACAAAAAAGGGAGAGAATAACACGTACAAATATATTTATTTTGGATTTATTTATCTATTTATAATTGGAGACAGCAGCTTGTGCTGTCACCCAGGCTGGAGTGCAATGGCATAATTATAGCTCACTGAAACCTTGAACTACTTTCTTCTGTACAGTACATACTTTATGATTTTATGTCATTACTAGAAAATGAGAATCATTCTGGAATTGATTTAAAAATAACTTCTAGTTCTATATTTAGTGATGTTAATTGCCCATTTGTAAAAAAAATGAGCTGTTTAATACTACTTAATGTAAACTTCATGTAACTACAGCAGTTTATGATATTTTTATATCAGCAACACTTATTCTACATATTTGGTAACGAAGGTGGTATCTCAGGCTAGCAGCTCTAACAGCACCTGGGAGAGCATTAAAAAGGCAGGATCTCATGCAGAAGAATGAAATTGGACCCATACCTTTCACCATATACAAAAATTAACTCAAGATGGATTAAATATTTAAGTGTAAGACCTCAAACTATAAGAACCCTAGAAGAAAACCCAGGAAACACCATTCTGTTCATCAGCCTTGAGAAAGAATTTATGACTAAGTCCTCAAAAGCAATTGCAACAGAAAAGCAAAAATTGACAAGTGGGACCTAATTAAACTGTCGAGCTTCTACATAGCAAAAGAAACCATCAACAGAGTAAACAGACAACCAACAGAATGGGAGAAAATATTCACAAACTATTCATTCAACAAAAATCTAACATCCAGAATCTATAAGGAACTTAAACAATTGAGCAAATGAAAAACAACCCCATTAGAAAAATGAGCAAAACACATGAACAGACACTTTTCAAAAGAAGACATAATCAGCCAACAAACCTATGAAAAAATGCCCATCATCACTAGTCATCAGAGTACTGCACATCAAAACCACAATGAGATACCATCTCACACCAGTCAGAATGGCTATTATTAAACAGTCAAAAGACAACAGATGCTGGCATGGCTGCAGAGAAAAAGGAATGCTTATACACTGTTGCTGGGAATATAAATTAGTTTGGCCACTGTGGAAAGCAGTTTGGAAATTTATCAAAGAAATTAAAAGAGAGCTACCATTTGACCCAGTGTTCCCATTCCTGGGTATAAATCCAAAGGACAAAAATCATACTGATGCTGGGCAGACCCTTGGTCCTTGAGGGGGTCATGGGAGATGGGTTCTTGATTTTGTACAAGAAGGAATTCAGGAGCAAATCACAAGGAGAAAGCCAAAGTAAAGTTTATTGGAGTGCTTCTCCACAGATGGAGCAAGGCAGTCTCAGAGAGAAGACATGCTGGGAGGGTCTTAGGTCGGCAGTGTTACTATGTTTAATATGCATAATTAGAGGGAGGGTTATTCATAAGCTTTTCATGGAAAGATGCAGTGATTTCCAGGAACCAGGGAACAGTCCCTTTTCTTTATCATGTAGGGCTTTTCCAGTGGTTGCCATGGTAAACAAAAACTGTCATGGTGACAGGGGTATATTTTTACTATGGAAATACAGTATAATTAGCATATAAGGAGCAATGAAGGTCAGTTTTGCTGCCATCTTGGTTCCAGATGGTTTAGGCTGATTTCTTTACTGTATCCTGTCTTATCAGTGCGGTCTTGTGACCTGTTGTCTTGGAAACTAGTTCTGCTGAATTTCTATCTCAGTACTACCAAAAAGACACATCCACTCATATGTTCATCACAGCGCTATTCACAAAAACAAACACGTGGAGTCAACTTAGATGCCCATCAACGGTAGACTGGATAAAGGAAATATGGTACATATTCACCGTGGAATACTACACAGCCATAAAAAGAATGAAATCCTGTCCTTTACAGTAGTATGGATGGAGCTGAAGGCCATTATCCTAAGAAAATTAATGCAGGAACTGAAAACCAAAAACCAATATTCTCACTTGTTAGTGGGAGCTAAATATTGGGTACTTGAGGACATAAAGATGGCAGTAATAGAAACTGAGTACTACTAAAGAGGGGAGGGAAGGAGGAAGGGAGGGAAGCAACGGTGGAAAAGCTAATGACTGAGCACTATTCTCAGTACCTGGGTGATGGGATCATTCATACCCCAAACTTCAGCGTCACACAGTATAACCAGGTAACAAACTTATACATATATCCTCTGAATCTAAAATAAAAGTTGAAAACAGAGAAAGATATCAGTTTCAAGAATATGAAATATATGAGAAATAGTTTAATTGTAAGCTATGCGATTATGAACCATTTTACTTAAATTCTGTATTTTCTCATGTGCAAAATGGGAATGGTGATTATTTTAAACTACATTGGCATATCATGAGGATTAAATAATGTATGTGTAACCAAAAAAATACAGAATCTCAAGCCTCACTCAGTCCTACAGAATTAGAAATGTATTCGATAAGATTGCCAGGTGTGATCTGTATGCACATTAAAGTTTGAGAAGCCCTGTCTATTCTAGATATCATATACAGTCATGCATTGAATAAGGATGTTTCAGTCAATGAAGGACTGCATCTACAATGGTGGTACCATAAGATTATAAAAGAGCTGAAACTTTCGTATCCCCTCGTGACTCATAGCTATCATAACATCATAACACAGTGCATTACTCATGTGTTTGTGGTGGTGCTGGCGTAAACAAACTTACTCTGCTGCCAGTTGTATAATAAAAGTATAGTACTTAGAATTATATACAGTACATACTACTTGAAAATAATAAGTTACTATGTCACTAATTTATGCATTTACTATACTATGTTTTAATCATTATTTCAGAGCGTACACCTCCTACTTATAAAAAATAAAAGTTACTTGTGAAGCAGCCTTAGGCAGGTCCTTCAGGAGGTCTTCTAGGAGAAGCATTATTGTCATAGGAGAGGACCGCTTCATGCCAGCTTCAGGTCTTGTCCCTGAAGACCTTCCAGTGAGACAAGATGTGGAAGTGGAGGACAGTGATATTGATAATTCTGACCAGGTGTAGGCCTAGGGTAATCTGTGTGTTTGTGTTGTAGTTTTTAACAAAAACAAAATTAAAATGTAAAAAAAAAGGAAATAGAAAAAAGGATATAGAGTTGGGATATACAGAAAGAAAATATTTTTGTACAGCTGTACAACGTTTTTGTGTTTTAAGTAAAGTGATTTTACAAAAGAGTCAGTAAGTTAAAAGGTTTATAAAATAAAAACATTACAATAAACTAAGGTTAATTTATTATTGATGAAAGAAAGTTTATAAGTCTTTGTAAGTTTAGTATAGCCTAAGTGTACAGTGTTTATAGTTTACAGTAGTGTACAGTAATGTCCTAGGCCTTCACATTCACTCATACCTCAATCACTGACTCACCAAATCAACTTCCAGTCCTTCATACTCCATTCATGGTAAGTGCTGTATAGAGGTATACTATTATTTATCTTTTATACCATATATTTACTGTATCTTTTCTGTGTCTGGATGCACAAATACTTGCCATTATGTTACAATTGACTACAGTAGTCAGTACAGTAAAATGCTGTACAGGTTTTCAGGCTAGGAGCAACAGGCTATATACCATGTAGTCTAGGTGTGTAGTAGGCTACACCATCTAGGTTTATGTAAGTACACACTATGATGTTCATACAAGGACAGAATCACCTAAGGATGCATTACTCAAAACATCCTTGTTATGTGATGCATGGGTGCGCACACACACACACACAGTGTAACAAAAAGTTGAATGCTTAAGACCAGAAAAAAAAATCTACTTTTTAATGCAGATAGTTCAACTTGAGTACTGTAGTTATTCTATAAATAAAAGGTCCAGTTTACCTTCATAATGAAAGCATATTTATTTGGTTTTTAAAATTAGAGTCTTCTTTAAAATTCTGATTTAAGTGTAAATAAGTTGGAAAATAAATAAATATGTAGGTGTGTAAATAAAATCTACCTGAATGTCCTTGAATGTAATTATAATATTATGGAAATGACTTCACAGTGGGTAATCCTTACTATTGAGTTTTCAAAAAGCAGGGGAAGAAAAAGTCATGTGGAATGAATATATGTGGATAAAAATGGCATCATCTATTAAATATATGCCTAATAATTCCTGGCATCTCTTTTATAACATGATGCTGATTTCACTCAGTTTATGGAAAACAACTATTATTTTTTAGTTATTATTATTTAATTATACTTTATGTTCTGGGATACATGTGCAGAATGTGCAGGTTTGTTACATAGGTATACATGTGCCATGGTGGTTTGCTGCACCCATCAACCAGTCATGTAATAGGTATTTCTCCTAATGCTATCCTTCCCCTTGCCCCCCACCCCTGACAGACCTTGGTGTGTGATGTTCTCCTCCCTGTGCCCATATGTTCTCATTGTTCAACTCCCACATATTAGTGAGAACGTGCAGTGTTTGGTTTTCTGTTCCTGTGTTAGTTGGCTGAAAATGATGGTTTCCAGCTTCATTCATGTCTCTGCATAGGACATGAACTCATTCTTTTTTATGGCTGCATAGTATTCCATGGTATATATGTGCCACATTTTCTTTATCCAGTCTATTACTAATGGACATTTGAGTTGGTGCCAAGTGTTTGCTATTGTGAATAATGCTGCAATAAACATACGTATGCATGTGTCTTTATAGTAGAATGATTTATAATCCTTTGGGATTATACCCACTAATGGAATTGCTGGGTCAAATGGTATTTCTAGTTCTAGATCCTTGAGGAATTGCCACACTATCTTCCACAATGGTTGAACTAATTTACACTCCCACCATTAGTGTAATATCATTTCTATTTCTCCACATCCTCTCCAGCACCGGTTGTTTCCTGACTTTTTAATCATTGCCATACTAATGGACATGAGATGATATCTCACTGTGGTTTTGATTTGCATTTCTCTAATGACCAGTGATGAGCTTTTTTTCATGTTTGTTGGGTGCCTAAATGTCTTCTTTTGAAAAGTGTCTGTTCATATCCTTCGCCTACTTTTGATGGGGTTAATTATTTTTTTCTTGTAAATTTGTTTAAGTTCCCTGTAGATTCTGGATATTAGCCCTTTGTCAGATGGAGAGATTGCAAAAATGTTCTCCCATTCTGTAGGTTGTCTGTTCACTCTGATGATAGTTTATTTTGCTGTACAGAAGCTCTTTAGTTTAATTAGATCCCACTTGCCAATTTTGGCTTTTGTTGCAATTGCTCTTGGTGTTTTAGGCATGAATTCTTTGCCTATTCATATGTCCTTAATGGTATTGCCTAGGTTTTCTTCTAGGATTTTTATGGTTTTAGGTCTTACATTTAAGTCTTTATTCCATCTTGAGTTATTTTTTGTATAAGGTGTAAGGAAGGGGTCCAGTTTCAGTTTGCCCAATGGCATTTATTAAATAGGGAATCCTTTCCTCATTCCTTGTTTTTGTCAGGTTTGTCAAAGATCAGATGGTTGTAGATGTGTAGTATTTTTCTGAGACCTCTGTTCTATTCCATTGTTCTATATATCTGTTTTGGTACCATTACCAAGCTGTTTTGGTTACTGTAACCTTGTATTATAGTTTGAAGTTAGGTAGCATGATGCCTCCAGCTCTGTTCTTTTTGCTTAGGACTGTTTTGGCTATACGGGCTGTTTTTTGGTTCCATATAAAATTTAAAGTAGCTTTTTTCTAATTCTGCGAAGAAAGTCAAAGGTAGCTTGATGGGAATTGCATTGAATCTATAAATTACTTTGGGCAGTATGGCCATTTTTCACGATTGATTCTTCCTATCCATGAGCATGGAATGTTTTTCCATTAGTTTGTGTCCTCTGTTATTTCCTTGAGCAGTGGTTTGTAGTTCTCCTTGAAGAGGTCCTTCACATCCCTTGTCAGTTTTATTTCTAGGAATTTTATTCTCTTTGTAGCAATTGAGAATGGGAGTTCACTCATGATTTGGTTTTCTGTTTGTCTATTATTGGTGTATAGGAATCCTTGTGTTTTTTGCACATTGATTTTGTATCCTGAAACTTTGCTGAAGTTGCTTATCAGGTGAAGAAGTTTTGGGGCTGAGACAATGAGGTTTTCTAAATATACAATCGTGCCATCTGCAAACAGAGATAATTTGAGTTCCTCTCTTCATATTTGAACATGCTTTATTTATTTCTCTTGCCTGATTGCCCTGGCCAGAACTTCTAATACTATGTTGAATAGGAGTGGTGAGAGAGGGCATTTTTGTCTTGTGCCAGTTTTCAAAGGGAATGCTTCCAGCTTTTCCCCATTCAGTATGATATTGGTTGCATATTTGTCATAAATAGCTCTTATTATTTTGAGATACGATCCATTGATACCTAGTTTATTGAGTGTTTTTAGCATGAAGTCCTGTTTAATTTTATGAAGGCCTTTTCTGCATCTATTGAGATAATCATGTGGTTTTTGTCATTGGTTCTGTTTATGTGATGGATTACATTTATTGATTTGCATATGTTGAACCAGCCTTGCATCCCAGGGATGAAGCCGACTTGATCATGGTGGATAAGCTTTTTAATGTGCTGCTGGATTTGGGTTGCCAGTATTTTATTGAGAATTTTCGTATTGATGTTCATCTGATATATTGGCCTGAAATTTTCTTTTTTTGTGTGTCTCTGCCAGGTTTTGGTATCAGGATGATGCTGGCCTCATAAAATGAGTTAGGGAGGATTCCCTCTTTTTCTATTGTTTGGAGTAGTTTCAGAAGGAATGGTACCAGCTCCTTTTTGTACTTTTGATAGAATTTGGCTGTGAATCTGTCTGGTCCTGGTTGGTAGGCTATTACTGCCTCAATTTCAGAACTTGTTATTGGTCTATTCAGGGATTTGACTTCTTCTTGGTTTGGTCTTGGGAGGGTGTATGTGTCCAGGAATTTATCCATTTCTTCTAGATTTTCTAGTTTATTTGCATAGAGGTGTTTGTAGTATTCTCTGATGGTAGTTTGTATTTCTGTGGGATCAGTGATGATATCCCCTTTATCAGTTTTTCGTTTTGTCTATTTGATTCTTCTCTCTTTTCTTCTTTTTGGTCTGGCTAGCAGTCCATCTATTTTGTTAATCTTTTCAAGAAACAGCTCCTGGATTCATTGATTTTTGAAGGGTTTTTCCTGTCTCTATCTCCTTCAGTTCTTCTCTGATATTAGTTATTTCTTGTCTTCTGCTAGCTTCTGAATTTGTTTGTCCTTGCTTCTCTAGTTCTTTTAATTGTGATGTTAGGGTGTCAATTTTAGATCTTTCCCACTTTCTCATGTGGGCATTTAGTGCTATAAATATCCCTCTAAACACTGCTTTAGCTGTGTCCCAAATATTCTGGTACGTTGTGTCTTTGTTCTCATTGGTTTCAAATAACTTATTTATTTCGGCCTTAATTTCATTATTTACCCGGTAATCATTCAGGAGCAGATTGTTCAGTTTCCATGTAGCTGTGCAGTTTTTAGTGAGTTTCTTAATCCTGAGTTCTAATTTGATTGCACTGTGGTCTGAGAGACTGTTATGATTTCCATTCTTCTGCATTTGCTGAGGAGTGTTTTACTTCCAATTATGTGGTCAATTTTAGAATAAGTGCTATGTGATGCTAAGAAAAATGTATATTCTGTTGATTTAGGATGGAGAGTTCTGTAGATGTCTATTAGGTCCGCTAGGTCCAGAGCTTGAATTCAAGTTCTGAATATCCTTGCTAATTTTCTGTCTCATTGATCTGTCTAATATTGACAGTGGGTTGTTAAAGTATCCCACTATTATTGTGTGGGAGTCTAAGTCTCTTTGTAGGTCTTTAAGAACTTGCTTTATGAATCTGGGTGCTCCTGTATTGGGTGGATAGTTAGCTCTTCTTGTTGAATTGATCCCTTTACCATTATGTAATGCCCTTCTTTGGCTTTTTTGATCTTGTTGGTTTAAAGTCTGAAAACAACTATTATTATTAAAAGGAACAACTTTATTTGCTTTTAGAGTAGCTGATTAAAGTAAAACTAAGAGAAGGGATGAATTGTTAGAATTTTGATTACTTCAGACTTGTTTCTTCTTATCCATAAGTGTGGCAAAATGCAAACACAAATTTGCTGATGAGATTGATGAAATAAAGAGTCTCCAGTACTAATTAAAATTAAAAAGGATGAACAGATGGTCTTAACACAGCTGGAAGTATTAGGATGAAATTCTGCCCGTGTGTTTAGTCAGACAGCACAGTTGCAAGAAAGCCACACCTGTTTACTTTTCTAAGAGCAAAAATATTATTAAATGTGGTTTTGATTTACTGCTATTTTGGCTATTAAATCATTCCTTAGTCCTTATGTGTCTGTGGTATCGAGAGATAATCAGCTTTAAGTAACTTAATAGTATACATGTATGTCTGTGTTTCTTTCTGTCTAATAATATTGATCATGACATCCACATATTAAGGCAATCTTTTGCTACTTATGCGATTTTTGTGGCCACATAGTCAAAACACCGATGGAAAGGGTGAAAAAGAAAAATAATAAATATTAGAATATGCATTTGCTTTGAAAAATTCTAAGTAATGTTTTCAGATTTTTAATATTTAAGATAATCCTCTAAGCCTTACTCATTATTCAGTGTCTTGGAATTTTTGACAATATACAGCAGATAAATGATTTTAAATAGCTTCACTTAAGTACTTTAATAAATAACATTGTTTTATGGTATTCTTAATAAATAGTAAATATGCAAAAAAGGAAAGTTTAAAGATTAAGGGATAATATTAATGTAGAATAATCCTTCAATTATGGCCATTTTAACCTTTCATTAATCATGCCTGAATATTTTTATATGTAGAGGTTCCTTTTATATATACTTGTAATTAGGTTCTACATACAATATTATATTTCATTCACCGGTATTTATTAAGTAACTAAATAATTATTGAGACACTATTACCAGAAACAGCATCAAACCCAAACAAGAGTAATATGACAAATACTTCCAAATTTTACTGGATTTTTAAGTATTTAAATTAATTTGTTTAATTTAAAGGAACGAAGTGTATGTATTAGCCCTTAGATTAGTAAGACCTAAGTCTTACTAGTGCCCCCATCCTCTTATTTTAATAAATGTAATTTGTCTGTTTACCTATCATTGAAGAGTCCCCATATGGCTGGCATAAAGATTTTTATTTCAAATATCAAAGAAGCATCAGGAAAATTGTTACTTTGCTTTCTGACTTACATATTGTATTCAATTCCTAGGACTACCATAGCAAAGTACTACAAACTGGGTTGCTTAAAACAGAAATTTATTCTTTCATGGTTCTTATAGCTGCACGTCTGAGATCAAGATGTTGACAGGGCCAGGCTCTCTCTAAAGTCACTAGTGGTGAATCTGTTCCCTCTGTTCCATTCCTGCAATTCTTGGTATTCCTCGACTTGTAGACACATCGCTCCAATCTCTGCCTCCATCATTGCCTGTCCCTCTTCCTGGGTGTCTCTTCTCCTCTTCTTGTAAGGACACTAGTCATATTGGATTAGCCACTCCCTGCCACTTGAGACCCCCATGACCTCATCTTAACTTGACTGTGTCTGTGAAGACCTTATTTTCAAATAAAATCACATTCACAGGTATTAGGGGTTAGTACCCCAGCATATATTTTTGGAGAATACCATTCAACCCATAACATACATTTCTATTTGACAACATTTAGCTCAATGGCAATAATCTTGGTAATTACTTTCTTAATATAAGGATGCTTTACTTTTTAAAATCCCCTTGCCTCTTTTACCTACCAACAGTGCATTGTTGTAGGTAGAGCTGATATTGCTACAGGTTTTACTGATGAAGATGAGAACATATTTGCAGAAAGCCAGCCTTTGTTCTGGAGCATCCAGGATGCATTACTTGTGTTTTGATGCTGATGTTTCCTATGGGAGGCAGTTTCTGATGTGTCTTTTCGTGATCTCTGTACCCTGGTGTGCATACCCTGCTGTAATCCCCTTACTTTAAGGATGGTCTTACCTAGCAACTCACTTCTAATGAAGGATGTACAGCAAAAGGAGCAGTATATGATTTCACATCAGATTGCAAAAACTGCTTCCAAGCCAAGCCTTCAGATAACTGCAGCTTGGCGAGAGTCCCAGAGCCGCAGGAGTCAACTAAGCCACACTAAAATTTCTGACCTATAGGAACTGTGGCATAAGGAATCTTGTTCTAAGCTACTGTCTTTTGGTGTCATTTGTTATCCAGCCATGGATAACTGATAGACTTCTTCATCCACATCTGCTACCTGTAGTCAACCAAAGCAGTTTTATACAAAGGTACTATTTTCTGGCTTTTTATTCCAACCAGATTTCACAATTTTTTTGAGTGTGGGTGTAGAGGATGGTGAAATATCCATGGAATAGAAGATTGTTGAATAAGAAAGTCAGAGGTAGCAAGGAAAATGTGTATTTAGTTCAAAAAAATCCTATCAACCTAGTTGTATGTGTTGATAATAAAGATCTCTCTGTCTTTCCCAGCAATTCGGATCAACCTTGTTAAGGTTGAACAGAGACAGACCCAGGTGTTTGAATGGTTCATATTTGTGTTTTACTCCTAAGGGTGAAGCACCTGTAATTTTTAGGGCTTAAGATATCATCATGAAAAAAATTAAAAGAGGATTTTTAATGGTGAATGGAGATGCTAAGCTTGTTTAATGGCTATTTTTTTTTTACTACAAGTAAATAATAACTTATTTTCATAAGCTTTTACCGATGGTACTGGCCATGCTAGCTTCAGATTCCCTGACTAAATTTTCCCATGTAGGGACAGCAGTTGCTTATAGTAGATTTGGTTTGCATCACAGGTACACACTTTCAGTTTGAAGATGTATTGCTTTCAGGGGGAGTTTGTTACTAATGTTCTTCTTGATTCATCATTTAAACAAAATTAAAGCATGTAATTTTGTTCTTCTGAATTTACTGTGACTCTCAGCAAAAGCTATTTGTTGATCATTTCTGCTGATGAAATCAGCAAATCCTGTGGTTAGACTGTTTGATTACTTCTATCTTATACTTTCTCGTGAGATTCTGTTTCAGGAAGCAAAAACAGTGAATTCTTCATCTTATATGTTTGTTTTAATGAAGTGTTTCTAAATAAAATTTCTGGTACAACAGAGAAATTATATTTTGCCATGATCTCAAAGACATCAATTTCTGTTATCACCAGACTTCAATTTAGGTGATCGTTTTTTGGTGATTAATGCCCAGATTTAGAAGTAATCTGAGAAATAAAGATTCAACACACCTTTTCTCTAATATTATGTTGTATTTCTTTTCCCTGGTACATTTTGTTATACTTTTGGATCACTTACTGAGATTTATTTACCTAAAATTGTGCATCCTTGGCATATCACTTTAAAGGTGCGATCATTCATTGATGCACAATTTATCTTGATTTCATAGCAGTATGATGAAAATCCATCCCTTAGAGATGTTACATCCGTATAAATGAGAACGATTTTATCATCTTCTCTAAAATGTTTGCTCTTGTTGCACTCATGGATTTAAGGTGCTATAGAGAATGAAACTAATTGTATCTCTGTGAAACCTAACATTTAAAAAAAAGTGCCTTCTGTGCACTCAAAGGCAAGATTTGATCAATAATGATGTAACCTATACAGTTCAATGCTCAGTCTTAAATCCTGTGTTGTTTACCTAAAGAAGCTAGGTTTAGTCATTTTTAATTGACTTTAAGTTATAAAATTACCTTGAAGAGTAGAATCAAAATTTCAAATATCCTTAAAACTTGTGAGCAAAATCAAATAATATTCAGTGAGTGGAAGAACAGCTAACATTATTGGGAGAAGGCCATGTAGTGTTTTTGCTGTTTTTTAATTGTTTTTAAGTATCACAAAGACAAAAATCATCTTTATCTCATGCTCTTAGTAGTCTTTGAGTTTACTCTTGGTTGTAAGGCCTTAAAAAGATTTATCAAGAACCAACATAATAAGCCAGCCACTTATGATGAAACTCCCTTTCTCCTAAAAGCAGAATTAGAGGGAGAAATATCAAATAAACAAAAGAATGCTTCTCAGACCCTTTCTAACCTGCTAAATCTAGTTATTTAGATTATAGAGCTTGAAATAAAAAAGAGTAGAAAATTTTACTCCAAAAAAATAGAGAGAGTAGATTTCTCAGAGGGCCCCCATGCCCGGTAAAGATTTGGTCAGTTCATCTTGATGCAGTTTACAGTTTATACAGCCCCAAGACTGTGCATTACCAATAATCATCAATATTAGAGTCATTAAGTTGTTGTACTTTATGTTTCCTCTTTGTCCCTATTAATTTGTTAACAAAGCATCTATATCCAATAGATGATTTGTTTTTAAAACTAGCCATTTGTAAAATACCAAAAATACCAAAAATAAAAAGAAGAAAATCAGTGTTTTCCACACATGCACTATTAAATAATTTGGTGAATGGATAATAAAATACATTCACTTTATTTTGTCTCTTTAGATAATCTAGCAAGTCAGTAAATTTTTGGCCAATAGAAAACAAGACAGACTTTAACAATGGGTCTGTATTAATTAGAATGCTTTCATTTTGTCCCACTGAAAATGTAGTGGCCCAATTAAAGTTCATCTAATTTATATTTAGATATCCATAGCTATCATTCACTTCATGGAGGACAACAAATGCAATCAGATGCAAAATAAAGACTTTTTCCTTCATACACACACACACACACACACACACACACACACACACACACACACACACATATCAAGCAAATGCCCACTTATGGAGGCTATTTATTTTTCTTCTTGGTGGCACTGTTTGAGCTCTCTGATTCGTGTATCGAACATGGTGACATATTTACGTCTGTGCATTCATGTCAGTCCTTTCGGAGGTTCTCCCTGCTTCCTAGCAGACTGTTTGAAATAGCTCTTTGTCAGTTTCAGTTTACACCCATAAAATTGGCTTCAAGTTTCCACCTTGTTTGAAACTCCCTGGCCAATAACCTTCCTAACCCAAACCAGATGTGAAAAAGTTCATCCAAACAGTTTTGAATGTGTTGACCTTGTCCACATATTACAGAGTAGGGGTTTGTAAAACCTAATCTAAAATCCTATTTTCCTTCCCTCGGGGTATGTCAGAGAAAATTTCATAACCCTTCTAAGGTCAGATGTATGTAGATCTGCAAATCTGTAACATCTCCACTTTTTTTCTAAACCTGTTTTAGTTCCTTGGGAATCATCCAGTGTCCTCTGTCCTCCCACCTTTTTGAGGATGGGCAATTGGAATGCCCGCCCCCTGCCTGGAATTTTTCTGTGGTTAGCTAAGTAATTTCTTTTTTGTAGTTATCCCTGCACAATGGCCTCCATCTTCCCATTCATCAAGAGTCACATTCTTCCAATACAAGGACAACTACCCACTTAGGACTAGAACTTAATGTCTTCCACCTGTAAGAGGCTTTGGGCTGATGGCCTCCTCATTAGCATGCTCAGTGTAAGGGATGCCCAAATGGACTTGCTCCCTGAAATTATTTTCTTGCAGGATAATGTTGATGAGAGAAAAGTCTTGTTTGCAAAATCAGCTGGAGTTTATATGTTGATATATTTATATAAATAGGGCTCCATTTACTCATTGTTTTATGCATAATTGAATATTGGGGACAGTCTTGGGAAAAGGTTTTAAGGAACAAATATTTACTGACACAGTGACACTGAAAAGAGAAGGCAAGCATTTTACCTACTGGCATGTGATTTCATTTTGTGGAGCACCTAAGTCGATTACTGTAATCAGAGAGATGTGTAACTCTGAAGATAATAGTAATAATATTTTCCACTAAAATATACTGCTCTTACCATGTAAAGTTGAAAGCTTTCAAATATGGACTCTGTTCAGGAATTGTAGAAGAGCTTAAACTGACCACTGGCTACAGAATATTGCATTTTTCTTTCTGTCTGTAATTCTTCTATAGATTTGATTACACAATCTCCCCACAATCTATCCACATTTCATCACTCCCCACCCCATTTGCCCTATCTGGCCCACATCATCTCTTTCCTGGACCACTAAATAATCTCCTGAGTGGTCTCCCAGCTTACACTCTTGCCCTTCCCCGTGGTTTATGTTTTATAAACAGCCATAGTGATCTCTTAAAGGGAAGATAATAAATGTTTTGGGCTTGTGGGCCATATTATCTAAATCACATCTACTCATCTCTGATGTTATAACATGAAACCACAAAACCAAGCATGAAACCAGCCACAAACTGGTTTGTGCATAGGAAAGTGCATAGCTGCATTCCAATAAAATTTTATTTACACAAACTGATGGCCAGCCATTTGGCCAGTTTGCCAACCCTGTTTTAAAACTAAATATCAGGATGTGTCACTTTCCTGTCTGAGGCCCTCCTTGGTCTTCTTATTTTACAAATATAAAATCTGAACTCCTCTCCATGGCTTACAAAGCCTCCCTTCTGTGAACTCGCTGCTAAACATTCCTAACCAGGTATCCTCCTTCCTGGCTGCTTCACAGAGAGAGTCACTATCCCCTCTAGCCTGTTTGCTGTGACTGTGTCCTTATGACCTTGACATTTGCCGTTCCCTCCAGCTGAAACCCTCTTCACTCCCATCAACACCTTGCTGGGGTATTTTTGGTTTTGTTTTTAAACACTTGGGTTTTAGCTTCAATCTACCTCTGTGGAGAAGCTTCCTTGACCCTCTGTAAAAATTATTGCACTCTCATTTCCTGTACCAACACTGTTCATCCATTTTTGCAGACTCGCTTTCTTCAGAGTCTCACTATTTCAAGTTATCTTTTTGGTTTTGTTTGTTTGTTTGTTTGTTTGTTTTTTGAGACAGGGTCTTTCTCTGTCAGTAAGACTGGAGTTCAGTGGCCCAATCATGGCTCATTGCAGCCTCAATTTCCCGGGATCAAGTAATTCTCTGACCTGAGCCTCCCAAGTAGCTGGGAATACAGGCCTACCACCACGCCTGGCTAAATGCTTTTTTTATTATTATATATATATATTTTTATTTTTTGTAGAGACAGGGTCTCACTATGTTGCCCAGGCTGGTTTTGAACTCCTGGGCTCAAGTGATCAACCCACTTTGGCTTCCCAAAGTGAAAGGATTACTGGTGTGAGCCACCATACCCAGCCTTATTTTATCTTATGTTATCTTATTTATTTATTTATTTATTTTTGAGACAGAGTCTCACTGTGTTGCCCAGGCTGGAGTGCAGTGGTACAATTTCAGCTCACTGCAGCCTCTACCTCCTGGGTTGAAGTCATTCTCCAGCCTCAGCCTCCCAAGTAGCTGGGACTTTAATCACCCACCACCATGCCTGGCTAATTTTTGTATTTTTAGTAGAGACAGCATTTCACCATTTTGGCCAGGCTGGTTTCGAACTCCTGACCTCAGGTGTATCCGCCTACCTCGGCCTCCCAAAGTGCTGAGATTACAGGCGTGAGCCACTGCGCCCAGCCTTATTTTCTTTATTAATTTATTGTATGTTGAGGCATGGACTTTGCTTTTCTAGATCAGCAATATCCAGAGAAGTGTATGAGTCATAATCAGTCTACAACTAATGGTTGCTGAATGAATAGATGTAAGTATAGCTTTTTTTAGTATTAGTGCAGAGTCTAAGTATTAAGTATTAGTAGAATAAAAATAATAAATCCTTAAAGGCTGATTGAAACAAAGTAAGAGGATGATATGGAACTGCTTATATCTGCCTTGCTACTTGATCTGTTAATAGAAATAGAGGGTCTAATAGTCTTAAATAGAGTCCTGCTCTCTTCTCTGTGTAGCTTAACCTACACCCAGAGGAAAATTCAGTGGGCAATGCTCTACAAGGACATTGAGATTCTAAAAGAGTCCAGGAGAGAGCCATCAAGGTTGGGAAATGCATCAGACCACATTCTCAGAGGAGCAATAAACACAATCTGTTTTTGTTCAGCCTAGAAGAGATTCACAGCATTAGGTGCTCTATGTTGACATACTCCTTTATAATGTACCATGAGCTCAAATATCCAAACAGCAGTAAACTTACATAAAGGTACAAGGAGTCATTGGTCATGAGAGAAGTATCAATGAAAACCTCAGTAATTGCACCACTGTATACTCATCCAAATGCCTAAAAGAAAAATAACATTATGTCTTTCAAGGTACGTGTCATCTTAGATAACATCAAGAGTTGGCAGGGTTGAGGAGCAACCGGAATTCTCAATTTACAGCAAAGTAGAAATTGGTACAACCATTTTGGGAAACTATTGGACAGGATCTACTAAAGCTAAATATAGCATAGCTTATGATTCAACCATCCTAGTTCTAGATATATACTCAACATAAATGCTTACATATGTGTGCACATGGCTGTACTATTCAAATTAGCCCAAACTGGAACAACACAAAGTAAATGGGGTGTATTCCTTCAGTGGAATACCAACAGAAATAAGAATGGGAAAAACAGTTGCCATATGCAAGAAGAGAAAAAAATGGATACATCTCATAAACAATGGCAAATACAAGAATAGTACACTGAAGCATCCATGCTGTCTGAGCTTATTTACAGAAAGTTAAATTTTTAACAATCTCTGCTGGAAGTCAGGGGCCTGATGATTGGGAAGGGAGTGTTTGTGGCATTGGTAATATTCTGCTTCTTGCCCTGGGTGCTGGTCACACAGGCCTGCTCATTTACCCGTATACTGATGTGATCTTTCTGTAAGTAAGATATGTGTTAATAAAATGTTCACTTCATCATAAGTTGCTTGATGGCTTCCCTCACCATCTAGAATACAGAGCTCACATCAACTTTCTCTGATTTCTCTCCCAAAACTCCTACCAGGTCCTCTCCTATACCAGACACTCATCAAGTGCAGGAGACAGTGCTCTTAGGAGGAACAAGACAGTTGAATATATTAAGGAATGTTCTAGCTGTTTTATAAATAGCACTGGATGGAAAAAATAACAATTTGACCTTAATAAATCATACTCACACTCTCACTTGCTTTTTGATTTTCAATATCAAATTGCAAAACTCTACAAATGTCCTTGTTGCTGTTTCATTGCATATTAGTTCCTGAATGGATTTATGATAATCCTCCTGCTTCCCCAGCAGAGATGTCACTGGCATGGCCCTCCCCCAGAGCCTAGTCCCTGCTCTGTGCCATTTATTATAACTAATTGGCCTAGACTGCATGAGATCACATTTAACAAAACATCTGATGGCTCCTCTGGTTGATATGTGCTTCAGAAGGCTCCCTAAAGTGTCTAAGGTTTTCATTAGTTTTTAGAGCACACTGAGTTAATTATATTGCTCACTAGCTTTTCAGGTTGAATAGTCAACTAGAAAAAGAAGTAAGCATGGAGAGGCTGGAGAGGGAGTAAAACCATTTCTTGTTTTGGCAGCCTTCAAACCTTGTCCTCAGAACTTGAGAGTTTTTAACTGCGGCCTTTCTTGAAGCAAAAAGTTGATGACCTAGGAGTGACTTACTAAATGCAGGTGGCTGGTAGAAGAAATAAAACAGGACCTCACCCCTTGCTGGAATGTGCAATTTGTGGTAAAACTTGAGGGCGCATTATGATATGTTGACAGCATTCCTCTTGAAAGATCAGGACAAAAATGAAAGCTAGAGAAGCAAACTGCATTTAGATTGTGCAGTTGCTCTGTGGTCCACAGGGCTTTGTCATGAGGGAGTGTGGGATACAGTGGGATACAATGAAGGAAAAGGTTACCGAAGATTGTAGGGGTGCTCATTCCCTGCATTACAGTACTAGGGAGAAAATGAAGAGGGCCATCGTCTGTAGTCAGTGATAGTGCTAGGACCAGTTGACAAGTGAGTTAGCTTTTATGGCTCTTTCTGGATCTGAATTCTTTTTCCAACAGGAATATGGTAGCCACACTACATCACAAAACTCTCATGTGTTTTTGAGGTCTTGCCAGATTGCTCCTCACCGTGGCAATGATGTCTATGGGGAGAATCTGTAGGAAGCTTACTGAGTCTTTTAGCCCTGAACAGAGCACCTAGCTTCTGAATGGAAGGACGGTTGTCATGGAACATTCCAGACTGCTGGAAATTAGCTTGGTGGTTCTATCTCCTTCACAAACCCACCATTGTGTTAGCTTTCTAATTACAGGACTTTGCAAACCAAGCGTCTATTCTAAGGAATATTAATTATATCAAATGTATTGTATATACTAAGGATAGTTACTAAAGTATTCACTTTTTCAGTCATGTGTATGTGCTGTATATTTTAAGTATGGAGTATAGATATACATGCAGATATGGGCATCCATTGTACATCTAGATATGAGTGGATTATAGATATGGATGTGAGCGTGAATTGTATACAAATATGGAATATTCACATAAAGGAAGCCTAGTTATAAAGGGAAGAAAGGGCCATATTAAGGCATTTTTATTTTTTGAAGCAGATCTGTCCCTCCTTATTAGCCTTGAAGATCAATTCTGAAAATCTAACTAATTTGAGAAAAAAAATGACAGTATATATATGTAATAATGAAAGTGACTTAGGGTGTGAAATGCTTAAAGGCATGGATACAATATTCTTCATCTCTGTATTCCCAGCACCTTCACACAATAGATGTGACTGATAAATGCAAAAATGAAAGAATAAATAGCATATGCCTTCATCCACTCGAAGCAAAGAAAAAAGAAGTAAATCTCTAAATGTTTCCCATCATAGGTAGATGCAGCTTTCCCAGCTTTCTATTCTGAGAGAAAAAATGCTGCAAATCACATCTCCCTTGTCCTATAGTTTTCCAAAGTGATGTCCACATGTCCCTGCAAATTTATGCTGGGTAGGAGGCCGGCTCCTTGCTGCACAGCCAGGGAGTAATTTCAGTTGTTCTCTGGTGGAATAAGACATTTTGTGCATCAGCAAGGATGTTTGCAGCTGACAGTCCTATCAGCAAATGCAGCTTATTAAGATCACCACCACCACAACAAAAAAACAAATATTGGAGATGAATATAAGACAGATGATTTTGTTTATCTCAAGTGAAAAAGACAAGCAATGAGACCCCTGGGAGCGCTGAAATGAGAAACTTCTGAAGCTAATTGAGATATGATTAAAAAGATTGCTGTGTGTTATTGCCAGCAGTCATAGAGTTTTGTCATTAGGTTTCCAGTGTTGGAGCAATCAAACCAGTTATGGCTTCAGCAAGCAGCAGAGTATCTTTTAGTATACATATTTCCTGGAAAACTATAACTTATTAAAGGCATAAGTAGGGTTTCTGAAACAAATTCAATAAATGTATTTTAAGAAATTGCTCTCTTTGGTATCATTTATTATAGACTCAGATGTGTCACTAGATTTTGTCTTTTTATATGGCAGTGCTGTCCAATACAGATAGGATGCAAGTCATGTGTGTGATTTTAAATTTTCTTGCAGCTACATTAAAAAAGTAAAAAGAAAGAGGAGAAATTAATCTTAATATTTTCGATTAAACTAATCTATATATAATATCATTTTTACATGTCTTCAATATGAAAATTATTAATGAAATATTTTACGTTGTTTTTTTTCTGTACCAGTCTTTGAAATCCAGTGTGTATTTTACATTTACAAGACATCTCAATTTTGGCCAGCTATATCATGGCTAATGGCTACCATATTGCACAGGGCAGACTAAAGCTTCTCCTCTACTTGGTTATTGTCAGAGATAAATTATATAGGTTATATTACTTCCAGTATGCCACTTGGAAATTTCAGGACTATACTCTTTAAGTGATATTATATTTGCTAATGGAGGAAATTTATCCTTCTACACTCATCTTACTGTGACTCAAAACTCTCAAAATATGAAAGAATCATCTGATAATGAAGAATACATCCTGGTTTTGTAGAAAACCATTAATAAGTAATACTATGTATTTTAATTATATTTTTACCATGCCCCAAGTTATTGTTCAGGCTAAATTTCAGGATAAAAATTATCTGGCTTTTATATATGGTTCATGACGATGTGTTATATATTGTAAAATCCTCACTAAAGAAAAACAGAATTACTATTCACAAGATTATCTTTAGAAAAATGTCACTGTGTATTAGATGCTTAAGCCAAGTGTGAAATAGTGTAGTCTATATAATGTGATCAGGCATAAAATATATATAAATATATAAAATATATAAAATAAGGCTAATCCTCTATCACACTTGAAATTTTTATGTAAAAAAAAAAATCTGAGAAGTCAAGGATCTTAGCTGTCCTTGAAGAGTTGGCATGAAATGATTGGTAGTCCATTCCCATAGTCCATCTCATGGTACCATTAAGTTCAGTTATTTTACTAATGAGAAATATTTGTATGGAGAGCACATGCAGAACAATAGAACCAAGGGCAAGTAATGGCAGAAACACACGAGGACGATGCCCTGACTTAGAAACTCAGTTACGTGGCATTGAGGTAGCTGAGATAGAGAAAAGGAATGGTTGACGAAGAGGCAGGTTCACTGTGCTTAGGAACTGGTGAGATGATGGTGGATGTTTTTCTTTGCTCTTCTTCTTAGTTGATTTTGATAGTTAATATAAATTTCATGTTCTTTCATTCATGGTCTTCAATATTAAGCTATCCACACCCACATACTTTAATGACCCCCTAGCCAACATTAAGGTTTAGCCACCTTAAATATTTGCTATTGAATTCATCATGTGTTAAACCTCAGCTTCTACAGAAATGTAGGATTAGAATTCTGCAGTTTTGGGTTGAAAATGAAAATATTGTTGTTTTAGTAAAAACAAAAGTGTTTTGAAGGCTTGAAATCCCACAAATAAGCCATAAACTGTATTAAACATGAATGAACCATAAAGCTCTTCAAAACTCAAATTTGGAGTCATTAAAATCGCTTTGAATTTGTACTACTTTTGTTGGTAATTAAAACGTTTGCAGAATCTCACTAGTGGGAACAATTGTAGAGTTATTGTTTCACAATGACGTTAGCACATCCCTTAAACAAAAGCTGCAGCCACAGTAGACATGGTAGAACCTGAGCAATCTGAGTGACAGATTGACTTGTTCTCCAATTTGTCTGGGTGAAGAGCATTGAACAATTAGGCATACTTTTGAGGGACTGGAAAACCACTCCCTGTTCCATCACTGGGGCACTTAAAATTCAGAAATTTTAATTTGGGAGTAAGAATTTCATTGCTTTTTTATCCAAGTAGAATCTAGGTTTAGACATTTTTACCAACTTATTAGAATAATTTCAAGGATAGACTATGTATATTAAAAAACACCAAATTGTGATGGAGATATTGTAAATGTAAAAATAATGAGCCAATTAATATATCCAAAAATAAGCACATGAAAATTGGCTCTGATGGAAATTTTTAAAAATAACCAATTGCCTGATTATTGTAATTACATGTTTCCCTTTCTTATTCTGCCTCCTGTGGAAAACAAACAACAAAAAAATACAGAGAAACTACACAATTAATAACTATTAATGATTAATAATGGTTTATAAACCATTTGAAATCTTCCTGAAATACAGTAGATAATAAATAAAGTACTAAATTATATTAACTCCAATTCAAATTACAAGGTTTCCCCTAATATTTTTAATGAGTAGACCTTAAATCTTACCTTATAACTTAAGATTAATATATAGCCTCTTATTGCTGACATGTTTTGTCCATATGTGTATGTATATTGTCCTTTTACCAATACATCTCAATTGGTGATAATGATTTTTGTGTCAATAAAGATAATTACTGTTGTATGTTTTCCAATATAAAGGAAAAACAAGGAGCCTATAATAATAATTCAAGAAAACTCAATTAACTATTTCGTGCATACCTGGTTTCTGTACCCAGGACTCCAAAGTCTTATGTGAAGAAGATGTCGAGGTTGGGTGTGGTGGCTCAAACCTGTAATCCCAGCACTTTGGGAGGCCGAGGTGGGTGGATCACGAGGTCAGGAGTTCGAGACCAGCCTGGCCAACATAGTGAAACCCCATCTCTACTAAAAATACAAAACTTAGCTGGGCATGGTGGCGGGTGCCTGTAGACCCAGCTACTGAGGAGGCTGAGGCAGGAGAATCACTTGAACCTAGTAGGTGGGGTTGCAGTGAGCCATTGCACTCCAGCATCGGTGACAGAGCAAGACTCCATCTCAAAAAAAAAAAAAAGAAGAAGAAGATGTCCAAGGATAGACAGAGGATGATGAGTAAGGGATGACAATCATCTTTGATCAATCTTTGCCAGGTTAGTCATGAAACTGATTCTTCTGAAAAGCTAGATACACTTCCATTTTGTCCTTCGTCTTTGAAGTTAATGCCTGGTCAATTTTCAAAGCCAAAATAATAATCACTACCTGTAACAAGGCTGCCTGACGCATTCTAGGGGACACCATTGTATTATGGACTATATGAATGGCTGGAGTTTTGCAGTGCATGTTCTGTACTATTTGTCTGGAGGATCTGATCCATTTCTATGCTGGATATTTGCATCCATTATTTGGCTAATTAATTCTGAAAAGTAGGTCATATTTTACCTGAAGTTAAATGACTTGCCCAAGGGTCTTGTTCCTTTTGCCTATGGGCGTGACAGTTTATAACTTCTCTACAAGACTAACATCACTTCAAAATTGATCTTAAAAAGAGAAAAGTATACATCCTGAAAAGGATTTTTTAAATGGAAAGAGGGTGCTGTGCTCTTGGCATTCTCAACTTCCAGACAGCATTTGGCTCTAGAAGAGTTTATCATCTTTCTTTGCTAAAAAAGACACATACCATATTATGGAAGGCTCTCAGGGGCCCAGACAGTCACATGTTAAATGAATATAACCAGACCCTTTAGAGCTGAAAGCTCTCTTGAAACTAGAGATGTATGTGAGGAATTTCAAAATAGCTATATATGAAAACTTTAAATGTGTGGGAAACTTTAACAGCAAGTTCTCATCTCCTAAATATGTGTGACAGCACACTGACATCCATGAACTATGAGTAATAGGGCTGCTATTATGTTTCATTGCCATATACATACATCTATTTTTAATATGTTCCAATATAATTTTCAGTTCAAGAGAATGCATGCCACTTCTCTTTAATGATAATGATGAATAGAATATTGATTAGAAAACAGTCTGAATAACAGGTAATTGATAGGGGTAGGAGATGTGGCATTTTCCATCTTCTTTTTACATAATAACTACAAATTTCCAAACTGCAACAATATATATATCAGGCACAATCAAGAAAATGAAATATATAAATTAATTTTTAAATTAAATGTCTGATGCTTAAATAAACATAGCCTTATAATTGTGTACTACAAATAAATTTGATGTATTTACCAGTTGAAGAAAAATAGTATCATTTGCACGGAGATAGAGGATACTGATTAGTGTTTATGGTAAGAATTTTGAATGTGTCTTTCAATTTGTTTCTTGGATGGAAGGTACATGCACTTCTGAAATTATGACATTCACAAAATACACTGTTAAGGTTCTTATTTACTCTGATACTATTGAGTCCAATAGCATGAGAAATGCCCACTTCTGTTAGCTAAACTGAGAAAGGCCACAATTTCCTATTAAGCTTTGTATAGTTTTATGAGAAAATAAAGATAAAAGGCATGAGGAAATGAACGAGATTGACCTTCTCCATTTTCCAATATGCCATTGCAGGCATTCTGTGTCCACCTTACTTTTGCTTTTCTCTGCAACTCTAGTTGTACCTTTTTATTTTCTTTCTGCTGTTTACTTTGAATGTGTGCTTCAGAGCGTCCTGCATGCATTGCTTGGCCATTGCACTATGACTGGCTTAAGTAAGTTGAACAAACAACTATTTGTAGAAACTAGAATCCTGGTTGATATGGATTTATTTCAAGCAAGAAGACCAAAATCATCTCTTAATGGATTATAGTGGCCTGCGAGGACCTTTAAAATAAGAAGCCATATTACTCATTTAATTAAGGCTTTGATGAAAGTGCTTAAGATTTTTCCTACAACTGTGCCATGTTTTCTAATCTTCTGAAGTACATTAAAGATAGATAGCCCCCGTTCTCAAAGGTACTTCAATTAAAAACAACAGGAGCACCATAATCCTTGGTAGAAAATACTTGGAAAACTTGATAAAAGGAGTGAAAGGAAGACAATCAAAGTTCAACATTCATCGATTTATTTTTAGAAAATGCAATTTAATTAAGTATAGTCTCCATCTCTTTACCTGCTTTCACTACATCTTGAGAGACTCGGGAAAGCTTTTTTTACAATAGAAGATGAGTGAATAACAATTTCTGTGAAAAAATATGTTTCTTCTTAAAAATTATTGGGGCCATTCTTCCTAGAAAAAGTAGGTGAACAAATATAATTTTTTATAAAATGTTCCTATGTTGTGAAAATGTTGATTGGTAGGACTCTATACTCTAGAAATAGCTTTGTCAAAACATTATATTTATTTTGGATGTCTTTACAGAACATTTGAATTTGCTGTTAGTCTCAAAGCTTTTTCTAAGATCAGCTTTTCCTTAATAATCAAGCAGAAGTATGTTTTTAAAAGTACTCGGAATTATGCAGCCTTAGACTTGAAGCAACACTGAAAACTCACTTGATGTCATGCTCCTCAAACTTCTTATATTTTCAGACTAAAGATATCTACAACTTGTGCCAGATTACCAACCACTTTTTTACCTGGACAAACAACTTGATACGTCATAGGATATCAGTGAATTTCCTGTTCTTAATATTTGCAAATAGCAACAAAATGCAATCTAAGTTAAGGAAAATGCTAGTGCTTCATGTAATATGGCTAATGCCTGCTAAATAGTCTTCGAATATATCTTCATGACCAATGGAATGTCTGAGTGGATATATACCTTATTATTATCATTATTATATTTTTCATATGTTAGCTTTTTCATCATTAATGAGCTGAATATTCTTGACTTTTGGCCTACAGTAGACAGAAGTTGTTCTGAATAGTGGTATCTGGTCGGGCTTGGTAAAATGATCACCCATGTTTTCTGAAAGCACAGTGACCATAAAGAATGATTTGGGTCATTTCATGACAGTTTTTTCCCATATATTAGTTTCCCATAGCTTCTAAGCCGTTTTCAGACTACAGCTTCACATATTACTTTAAAAACAAAATTAAAATTCATATACCACATATTTACTTAGAAATGACTTCAAAACAGAGCCAAAGAGATTGTCAGCATTTTCCCATTCTGCATTTAATCCTCATGGTTAACATTATAATAGTCAACACTTCCATCACACAATAATTCTCAGAGGTAGAGACATGGGGGTTTGGAGTAGGAGAGAGAGGAGGGGAAGTAAAGCACCCCTCGTAGGAAGCCATATTAGAATTTCAGATTGTGGACTGGACAGTTTGAAAGAAAGAAAAACAAATTTGAATTCTACACATTCTGATACTTTATGAAAGGATTATGCTTATTTCCTTCCTATCTGCCACTGTAAAGTTCACTGTTTTAGCAGTTCTCTAGTTCACATAAAACCTGTTTTTGTTTTAGTCTGTCCTCCAAAACAACTCACAGTGATAGTTTAAATTCCAAGTGCACTTGGTTTTACACACACACACACACACACACACACACACACACACTCACACACATGAAATATCAATGGTTTTCAGTAAAGATATAATGACATTCTGGCCAGTTACCCAATACAGAGGTCAGATATGAGATGGGACAAAAGGAAGCTGCTACTGGAGGTCTCCAGTATCTACAAGAGTTCTTGTAGATAGCTAGATATGGAAGTAATATGGCCCGCAGTGCCTTTCCCATTAGTTGAAATGTGCATAAATTCATGGGAAAATTGTTAGAATCTCCCACAATGGACTTTCCCTACCTTCCCCATCAGACAATAGATAAGAGAAGAAAACTAGTTAGGTGATGAATTTTCTCCTTCTATAAGCATGACATGTGGCTTCTGTAATGTGCCCTTGAATATATAAAAGGGAGTCATTTTTCCTGTATGTATTAAAGCTCAAAAGAAACTTTTAATTATACATAATAAATAAGTAAATAGGAAACTTTTTATTTCTTAATTCTTCAAATACATTTTTTTTTTTTTTTGAGACGGAGTCTCACTCTGTTGCCCAGGCTGGAGTGCAGTGGTGCGATTTCGGCTCACTGCAAGCTCTGCCTCCCGGGTTCGCGCCATTCTCCTGCCTCAGCCTCCTGAGTAGCTGGGACTACAGGCGCCTGCCACCATGCCTGGCTAATTTTTTGTATTTCTAGTAGAGACGGAGTTTCACCTTGTTAGCCAGGATGGTCTCGATCTCCTGACCTCGTGATCCACCCGCCTCCACGTCCCAAAGTGCTGGGATTACAGGTGTGAACCACCATGCCCAGCCTTCAAATACATATCGAGTGTCCATTGTATGTCAGGCCCTTTTCTAGGTTCTAACACTAGCGTAGGGATTTAATCCCTTAGGAAATTACTGCCTGCATGAAATTTATAGTCTAATGAGAGTTTGGGGAAAGAAGTCACACAGTAAATCAAATGAATAAGTAAAATACATAATTTGTCAGATTGTGAAAGGTACTATGAAGAAAAAATAAAATGAGGAAAGAGATCGAGAGAAGGGTTTTCATTGTATGGGGCAGTCAGAGAAGGCTTCACTGAATTGGAATTAAAAACCTAAAGCAGGGGAGATAAATCATGGTGTTCCCCTTTATTTGGGACTTCACCATCCCCTTTCAATTACAAATGATCTAAGTCATTGAAGAATTGTTTCCAATAACCAGTAAGACAGTTGTAAAACACCTTTGAAATTACAAATCACTAGAGAATACTATAGCAACGGCACATTGTTCTATGTCGTAAGGTCTAATTTTAATTATATTAATAATTTATTGTTGATATACATTTTGTTGAAAGTGTACTAAAGAAGTTTTGTGCAGTAAAATGATGCCAGATTAGAGGACATAAAGGAGTAATCACCTAAAGTAAACATGTAGCTGGAACTAAATTATTTACTTTAGAAACATTTCAAATGCCAGAGTCTAATTCCATGGACAAGTGTTTTCTTAAAGCATTGTGCGGCAATTAAGGATAAAGACTGGAAAAAGTCAAGGTCAAGAAGCATTGTTCTGTAATTAGGCCAGAGTTATGGCAGCTTTTTGCTGGGAGGAATTCAAAACATGATCAGAATGATAAGTGGGGCTGAAATTGATAAACAGTTTAATATTACAATTGCTCTGTTGTACCATGACAGTATCACATTTGCTAAACAATGCAAATATTTTATGAGATAAAATCTCCTGATCATATTTCAAAGCTTTTAGTAGAAAGCAAGTGGCAGTTCAGCTTGTGGCAGTTCAGCTTGCAAGATACATTAGATGAATTTAATGCTAATTTCAAAGAACAATTCTAAAATGATTGAAAAATAAATTCAGGTACAAAAAGAATAAATACAAGACTCAAACAGTCTGATGCCTAATTACAATCTGGGACATTGTGGCTAATTTTGAGGCAAAGCTTCAAAAGGTCATTTACTTTACGTAGAAAACTATCTCGTTTAAAAGAGAAAACTGTGTGGTTAACAAGAATGTTTCTGGAAAGGGAAATAAGGAGTTGTTATGGTTTTTCATTAGTTTTTTTATATGTTTGCAATTAGAAAAACATGATGCTATTGATTTTATAATTATTGAAGAAACCAAATAATGTACCTAATATATCACAAAGTTAGTTTTTCTATTATGTTTGAACTTTTGTAGTATACCGATACCCATCCAGAATCTTTTTTTTTTTTTTTTTTTTTTTTGAGACGAAATCTCCCTCTGTCGCCCAGGTTGGAGTGCATCTGGGCTCACTGCAAGCTCCGCCTCCCAGGTTCACGCCATTCTCCTGCCTCAGCCTCCCGAGTAGCTGGGACTACAGGCGCCCACCACCACACCCGGCTAATATTTTTGTATTTTTAGTAGAGACGGGGTTTCACTGTGTTAGCCAGGATGGTCTCGATCTCCTGACCTCGTGATCCACCCATCTCAGCCTCCCAAAGTGCTGGGATTACAGGCGTGAGCCACCGCACCTGGCCCAGAATCTTCTTAATCTTGTCTTCTACAAGACATGGAGTCACAGGGCAAGTTATTTAATCCTTGTTAGAATGTGGTCTCCTGTTTCTCATGCTCATGCTCATCTCACATATTTTCTTTGTCATTACTTCTCTTACAAACCTGGGATTCAGTGCTCTTCCTTAGACGTAATATAGACAGCATAGCCCCGCCCCTGAGTTTAAATTATATTGTATTAATCTCCCTATATCTATGTTTGCTTTCTATAATTTCTGTGTCCATCCTCTGTTGCATAAATAACTTTATTGATTGGTTATTAGTTTTGCTTTTTTCCATAAACCAGTAAATGCTTACCCCCAGCACTCTTACTCTACTTAAATAGTGTTAGCATGACCTACTTGTTGAACTTTCCATTAGTCTTTATACACATCCCTAATTCTCCAAATCTCTGGCAAATTCTCTCTCATCTTACCTTGTTGTATCAAATTATGACTCCTCCCAATTTTATAGTTTTCACTATTTAAAAAGAACTATATTTACATATTATATTTTTATTCCAGTAAGAACAGAGTCAGAAAATGAGACAGAACTAAAAAAATGTAAATAACAAATGTAGAATTGTCTTGAGAGTTGCTTGATTAGCCATATCCTGTGTCAGGATTAATTCACCCTCCATAGGTCCTTGGCTGGATTGTTTTATAAGAAAGAACATGTACCAAGTTTGATATTTGACATAAATAAATACTTTGTGGTGTCTATATTTTTATTCGTGGAGATCTGTCTTCAAACTGAAAATTTAGAATGAACATTTCAAAGTAGGAACAAGATGGAAATATGATTCCATGTAAAGTGTGCCAAATAAGCTCAATTTAAATATAAATATTGTTGAGTTTAACTCATTTGATGCTGGCCTTACTTCTATTTTGATGGCCTTTCTAGGTGAGAAGAAATCTCCTATAATTCATTAAATGATAGAGAGTTTGAAGAAGTTGGCCCTAAAATACAAATGGCTGATTATCATGATCTATGCACTTTTGTTTATGCCATGTTTCAAGGGAAGGTTACAGGCATTGTGTGATTAGAATTTAGGAAACATTTTTCAAGTATCTCTTGATAGCCTTGTGAACAAGATGGATAAATGTGGGCCAGATGACAAGACAGACAAGTGGTTTTGTATCTGATGGAACAGTTGTCTCCGGATGGGTTGATTAATGTGGGGATATCAATGGAGAGGCTGACACCTCATGTCATGCCTCTGGGTGCTGTTCTTGGCCGTGTCTATATAGCTCATCACTGTTATCAAAGATCATCACACTGATAAGAAGCATGCTCATCAAATTTGCTAATGATGACAGACTTGGAGAAAATTAATAAAATGGTGACAGAATCAATATTCAAGTGCTTTCAACAAGCTGGAAGTATGGATGCAAACAAACCAGATGAATATTACCAGTAAAATATGGGTTTCCAACATTCCCGTCTGCAGTACTTGTGTACGTAACTGAAGAAGATACTTCAGAGCATGTTTCACTATGGAAAAATGAGTGGGTAGATCTACACGGAGGGAGAAATTTTAGGGGTCGTGTACAGGATTCCACAGAGAATATGAAGAAGGCCTGAAGTTACAGGAAAAACGTGGAGGTACAGAAATAAAAGTAGTTGTAGTTAGCTACAAGCAGTGATTTAGAGAAATGGTGGTCTATGAGTAGAAGAATAACTTCCAAGAGTCTATCATGAGCAACAGGGCCCAGAGATAGAGACTGCAGGTAGAGAGGATATCTGTGCTGGCAAATATAGAAAGATCTTGGTATGTGAGACACTGAAAGGTCAAGTAGACAGGTGTAGGTATCACAGACCATGGGGTAGAGGAGTTACACCAAAGCTATGGTGTCTGAAAGACCTAAGCTTGAATTTCTATCTCTAATGCTTACAATAAGTGTTTTCCTTAAAAAAATGAAATAATAAAAAAATTAAAAAACGATATAATGTGGCCAATACTATTCATCCTAATAGATAAAAATAACAAATCACTAAATGGAGACTTTGAAATGTATTATCTTAAGGTATTCATCATTAGACTAACATTTTTCTCTAATTTTCATTATTTTTTACTGTGGCTCTTACAGTCTATTTCCTTGTTCCAATTTTCTTTGTTTATAGGTTTTTGCTTTAAAAAAATTTAAATTTGCCTGTGATTTGTCTGTTTTATTGTACTCTTCTATGAGCCAACTCTTTGTTTATATTATTCTGATTTTTAATGGCTTCTAATATATTTATTGTTCCTTTCATCTTTATTATTTCCTTCCTTTTATTTTCCTTTCTAACAGATCTTAAGAATTAAAATTTATTATTTTTCCCTTTTTAACTAATAGAAACAATTCAAGAATGTCTCCCTGTGTACTATTTTGACCAATATTTAATATCCCTTGCTTTCATTGGTATTGTGTGTATGGTGAGTTTACTTCAATCCTGATCAAACTGATACTTAGAAATACTGAGCAGAAGGTTTTTTTAAGTTTTCTGCTGATACTGAATGGCATTAATTTGTAATTTTACTGACTTTACGTTAGTGAAATTAATGTATAAAATACAGTTCTAATTTTGTATATATTGAATTTTGGTTTTCTGGCGAATACAGCAAAAATACTTTAGAGTACAGATTTATTCCCTGCTGGAGGAGGTTTAATTCCTTTTATACTGTGTTTCAGATTATTCTCAGTTTTTGCCAATGTGTTTGTCACTAGATACATCTTCTGTGGTTGATTTTCCTCTCCCGGCGGTTAACATTGTTGACCTTTCCACATGGGAGGTCTCTACCCGCTTGACTTCCATGGCCAGTGTTTTTCCTGACCTCTGACTTTTCTCATCACTGTTTCTTCTTCACTCTTTTATCTTCCTCAGCTCAGTCCTTACATTGATGAAGCTCGTCTCTACCCATGAACTGCTGCCTTCAACCTGCTTTTCTAATCTATCCCCTTGAGTTTCTCCATCCCCGTGCATTCCACTTCTTAGTGCCCACTGACCTCTCTTCCCAGGAAATCAAGTGGACTTCTCTGCCTGGATTCCTACCAGGACCTTCAACTCACGATGTTCACATCTAAACTCCTTGTCTTCCTCCAAACCTGCTTTCCCTAGTCTTTTTTTTTTTTTTTTTTTTTTTTTTACAGTTGATCAATTCCTCCACTTTTATAAGTAAGAAAAATAGGGTGTTGTCACCTCATCTGACATCAAGCACTGTCAAATTTTGTAACATAAATATATCTCTCGGCCAGGCGTGGTGGCTCACACCTGTAATCCCAGCACTTTGGGAGGCTGACGCAGGTGGATCACGAGTTCGAGACCAGACTGGCCAATATGGTGAAACCGTCTCTACTGAAAAAAAAATACAAAAATTAGCTGGGTGTGGTGGAGCATGCTTGTAGTCCTAGCTGCTCAGGAGGCTGAGGCAGGAGAATTGCCTGAACCCAGGAAGCGAAGGATGCAGTGAGCCAAGATCACATCTATCTCTGCACTCCAGTGTGGGCAACAGAGCAAGACTCTGTCTCAAAAAAAAAAAAGTATATATATCTCAAATCCATTTCCTTCTCTCCATTTCCTCCTCTCCACCTCCACAGTGGGGGAACATAGCTCATTTCCAAAAGCCTTCCCAACTCCAATCTGAGCTCAGGTCAGTCAGTTCCCCAGGCTCACAGGTGAGTCCTCCATTTACATGCAAATCCAGCTCATTCCCTGGACAAACCCGATCTTAGGCTCTCAACTCTCTACAGAAGAGAGTTCAGAATACTTACATTGCTTACCTGACTTCCTTTGTTTGTAATTTTTTCCTTTCAGCCTTCCAGCCTCAAATCTCACTATTCTTCTTCCTGCTCTTTATATTCCAGATGTTTTCTCAAGTCCCTCTATGTCCCATGCCTTTTCACCATTTCCTTCTTCTGCCTGGAATGACTCCTTTTTTTGACCTTTATCTGACCTAAAGAAACTTCATCATCCTTTAAATGTCTCCCCAAATATCTTCATCTGTGACCCTCTCTGATACTCCCTCCTCTCATCACCTTGTTAAGTCACTGACTTCTCCACACTAGGTCTTTACCTTGCATATACTTCTTACTGTTTCTATTATTATTTACCAAATTACAGACAGTCCAAACTTACAATGGTTTGACATAACTACTTTTTGGCTTTACAATGGTGCAAAAGTGGTACACATTCAGAAGAAACTGTACTTCAAATTTTGATCTTTTCTCTTTTGAGATGATAAGCAGCAGTAGGAAGCCACAGCTCCCAGTTACCCACAGGATCAGGAGGGTAAGCAACCAATATGCTAGTGTATTGTGTTGCCAGCTTTTTTGGATATGATGTTTTTTGTTTTCCCATCCTACGATGTCTATGTGCCCATCTGTATCATCTGCTTCTGATGATAAGAAGAAGAAGACAGTTATTTTTGAGACGAAACTCAAAATAATTGCCCAGCATGAAAGCAGCAAGCCAGTAATGGCCATCACATGTGAGTTAGGACTTTCACAATCCATGATTTTGACCATCATGAAGGATAAGAAACAAATCAGTGATAATGAAATTGTCAGCATCAGTGAAATCCACTCTTTTCATGAAGAAAAGAGCTAGGCTGATTGATGATTTGGAAACCTTAGTTATCACATGAGTGGAAAGCCAGATTCAGAACCACATACCGCTTAGTCTAATGATGAGTCAGGCTAAGATAAGAAGCTGTTTTGATATACTACAAAAGTGTACCAATGATCTTATGCACATGCAAACATTTATAGCAAGTCAGGGTGATTCCAACTCTTCAAAAGCTGTCATAATTGTAGGTGTCACAATGCGAAGGTCAGTGGTGAGGCAGGAAGTGCCAGTACAGAAGGTGCATAGGATAATTGCAGATGATAAATATTTGCCAGAACAAATATTTAATGTTGATAAACTGAGCTTATTCTGGAAGCTTATGTCGGAGCATACATACATTCATGAAGAGTCCAAGACAACGCCAAGATTCAAGGCATTCCCAGAACATGTAAGGCTGCTTTTCGGTAGAAATGTTGCAGGGTTCAAATTAAAGCCTTTCTTAATCTACCACTCAGAGAACCCTAGAGCATCAAAAAATGTGAGCAAGCATACACTTCCAATTTATTATCACCATAACAGGAAAACCTAGATGAAATCAGCATTGTTTGAAAATTGATTTTTGAACTGTTTTAATCCACAAGCAAAAGAATATTGGAGGCAAAACAACACCATATTCAAGACTCTTCTGATCTTAGACAATGCCCAAAGGTGTCTATAGCATAGCAGCAATATGCATCTTGATGTAAAGATTTGTTATGGAACACAACCAAACTCATTTAACCAGTGGACCAAGGTGCAACAGCTGGGTTCAAAGCCTACTCTTGACACCAAATGTTTGTACAAGCTGTTAAAGTGATGGAATCTGGACCAATGCTCTGAGAGCTTTGGAAAGGGTTTAACATTCTAAATCCTGTCCAGAACATCCCTGAACCATGGAAAGAAGCCTTACGGCAATTCATGAACAGGATTTGCAAGAAAATTTTGAAGACATATGTGAACATGTTCAAAGGCTTTTAATAAATATTCTGCTATTAATGAAATATTAAGTAATAAAGTCTTATTACTTGAGGAACAGCTCGAATTAGACACTGATGAAGAAGATATTCATGAGCTTGTTGGCATTGAGGCTGAAGAGTTTTCCAGTGAGGAGCTGATTGAACTGGCAGAAGAAAGAAGTAAAGAAGTTGAGGCCAAAGGGAGGTAGAAGAAGATATACCTGAGGCATTAATAAAGTTTACAGAAAAGAAATTGGTGGAGGCCTTTGCCACTATCAGCAGTGGCACCAGGATGTTAAAAGAAATGAACATCAATGACAAGAGATGTGAAAGAGCTGACAGGCAGCTACAGGACGCTCTTGCTTGTTATAGGGAAATAAATAATGAAAAGAAGAGACTGTACAGTCAAACCTAGTATCTTCCTGAAACACACTATGCCTACTAAACCATCAGCAAGTGTCAGTGCCCCAGTGCCTTCTACCAGCTATTCTCCAGCCTCATCAGAAGAGAGAGAAATTGATGGCCCTGTCGCTGTCGCATTCCCATCATCCAGCAATTAATTTTAGTTCAATTCCTCAAATGTTCTTCAGGCCCAATCAATGTGCTTTTGGCTGCGTATGTGACTACCCATACAACCATTCTGTTTTTCACTTTTAGGGCAGTATTCAATAAATTACATGAGGTATTCAACACTTCATTAAGAAATAGGATTTGTGGAGATGATTTTACCTAACTGTGGGCTAATGTAAGCATTCTGAGCATGCTCTAGGTAGGCTAGGCTAAGCTATGACATCTGCTAGATTAGATGTGTGACATGCATCTTCAACTTACCATTGTTTCAACCTACAATGGGTTTACCAAGGCATAACCCCATTGTAACTCAAGGAGCCTCTGTATTCAGCAGTTACCTGTTTAGATGCCTTTCTTCTTTCCTAGACTGCGGGCCTTTCAGGGGAGGGTCTTATTCACATCTGTATTCACAGTGCTTAGTGTAGTGCCTGGCTCATAGTATGACTTGATAATAGATAATGTAAAAACAAAAATGTTTTAAAGTACAGTATTTGCTCGATGAAAATATGATGTTGTGACTTGCTTCTGATTGACTGTCTTTTATAATGGTATGATAATCTGCTTTAATCGAATGTAGTGCTTACTGCCTTAAATTCTGTTTTGCTCAATATTACCAACGATACTATTCTTTTGTTCAAATTTGATTGATAGATCTTTGTTGAATTTCTTATTTTTAGCCTTTAAATGACATATTGCTTTGTAAGCAGCCACTTGTTGAATTTTTAAATGCAATCTGAGAATTTCTGACTTTTAAATGAGGTGAGGGAGACAGTTTCATGTTTTATGTAGTAATTCCTATTTTTGATCTCTTCCTACTTATTTCACTTTTTATTTGTAGCTTTTTGTGATTTAATTTTTTTTTGCTTTTTTTATTTTTGTGTGGAATTTGCCATGTTTTCTTCTATCTTTAAGTAATTTAAAAGTTTATCACTCAATTTTTAATCATCAGTGCCTATTGCAAAATAGTATACAACATTTCTAATTCTATATTTTCTTAAGTTTTTATAAATGACAAGGAATTTTGCCGTTTATGGCTTCATATGCAGTTTCATCCTATATCTTATTCCATTCATAATTAAGTCTTAAGAATTCTCTAAATTGGTTAATATTATTAGCAGTAATTCACAAAGTTCTTTAATTATGTCTTCAAATGAGTAGCATTTACTTTGGTAATTAATACAATACTTTATTAATTGTCCAGCGGATTTTGTAGTGAATATCTTTAGTGAATTTTCTAAGTCTTTGAAGGGATAAGAGTGTCTTATTTTCATGAACAAGTGAAAACGAACAATACCTCAGTTTTGAGTATATGTTCTTCCATTATTGTTACGCTTTTACTTTTTCATAGAGGAACACAAAGAAATCTGACTTATATCTCATAATAGACTACGCTGTCTTCTTAAAAGTACATAGAATACTGTTCGTCATTTGTATATTTTGTCTAAAATGAGGCTCTCAGTTGGATTCAGTTTCTTATTGTTATATAGTACATGAGAATCAAAGATGCTATTTCTAGTCCTATTTCTTTTTCATTTCTGAAGTAATCAACTATACTATTTTTGTTCAGAAATGTTATTATTACACATTGGATCCCATTTTCCATTCTTCAGATGTTTCAACTTCTCACATACTCTTTATTATTTTTAATCCTGGAATTTTCTTAAGTGTACTTTAACTTTGATTGTTTTAACCTTAAGTTCCTGTTAATTATATTTTGTAGTTCATATTTTCCAACCTACTTTTATCTTTGGTAAGATATTTTAACCATATTATAATTCTATCTTACACTTCCTGGATATGGTCAATTTTTGGTTTTATCCTAAGAAATTCACTGCTTTCTACCGTTTTGCAGTACAGAATTTTTTCTTTGACTTTTTTTTTATTTTCCTTGACTATTACTTGATAATCTTTGATATATGCTACTTGAAGAATATTTACTGAGTACTTTTCCTAGGATAGGTCTTTTACAACACAATCTACCATTATATTAGGAATCTCAATTTATTTTCAAACAGATTACATTAAATAATTTATACTTAAACAGTAGAGCATTATAATAAAACTTAAAAATTGCAATAAATATTTATAACATGTATGACATTATGCTTTGCATAATATGTAAAGGTTCTATAATTAAAAGCAATAATAGTAATGAAAAATGAACAACCCCAGGGAAAAAAGACAGAGGGCTTAAACTGATATTACCCCCAAAAAGCCAAGAAGCCAATAGCAACCTATAAATTTTTCAGCCTTACTTGTGACGAAAAAAATACAACGTCAAATGGCAAAAGATTATCCTTTTTCTAACAAATTGAGATGGATTAAAATCACTATATTTTGGAGAAAATATTGAAAACTGGGCATTTATAAATACCATTTATTGGGGTATTCTAACTTCCTGGACAGCATATTTGAGTAATAGCATTTTATTTTCTAGGGCTCTTTTGGATGTTTTGAATTTTCTATAACAAAGAACAGAAAGTTGTGAAAAAGAAAAGGTAGTGTGCATTTAAGCCTAATAAATGACAAACAGACTTAGGGGAGAGAAAACTGTATCTGGGAAATGGTAGGAAAATATTAGAATAAATAGAATTTAAGCAGAGTCTTTAAAATTTGGTAAGATTTGTCTGTAAAGACAAAGGAGGGCAAAAGGAATAAGCGATCAGGGAGAAAGTAGTAGTGAAGATTCCAATGATCACAGTGTGTGGGATGTTTCTACGAAAATTTGTTGTTTGGGAATTCTACTTGGCTATTTCTAGTAGCAAACTAGAATACAAGGAGCTACTGCTGGAAGGTAGTTAACCTTTTTTCCCTTTTGTTGAGAAATATGAATATTGGATCTGCTATTAAAAAATAATGGGGAATGGCATATAACTATTCATACCAAAAAATAAAAGTGGCATCATACCCTAAGACTAACTTCTTCAGGGCTATATTTTCTCAAGGATAAAAGTTACTTTATAGTGGTTGCTACTTCCTATTTCAATCAGATCTGTGGTAAAATATCTCTGAAGCAGATAGAGATAGATTCAGTGTAAAAAATATACAATTGGAATATAAATAAAAATAGACACACCCCAGTATAGCCCACGTGTTCTCCGTTCTCAGCAGATTAGCTTAAAAACACAGCTATAATTGTGATCAGAACTAGAAACAAGCCTGATTAGTTTTAAATGACACCAACTAACCACTTCAGTCAACCCTTGTGAGGCGCATGATTTTACCTAGTTGGTTGGATGGGCGTGAGGCCAGGCATTTGGTAGCTGCTTAGTATGGTTTTAACTGCCTTGTTTCTGAACTACCACCATGGTGATTCCAAGGCGAGTCCAACAGAAGTTGAGCCTGTGGGAGTGGTTCACAGCATATGCCACAGTGCTTTTCCAGATGTCCAGGGGAATCCGGAGAGGTCTCTGTCTACATTCACTTCTCCTCTGGAGACAAAACCAGTGTGCAAAAGGAGGGAGGAAAGCAAGCAGAAAGCCTACTTAATTACTCTCTGTATGCCTCCAAACTCCCTGTCTTTGGATCCTCATCTGTAGAGTGAGGAGTACAGAGTTGGCTACTTTGCAAGAATAGAGTGCTGTTTTGCAAGTTACAGCTTTTCAAGTCCCAAAAAAAGAAAAACAAACAAACAAACAAACAAACAAACAAAAAATGCCTAGAAGTAAGAGGAAGCAAGCCTGTATGGAGTGGAGGCAGACTCAGGTTTTCTCCTCCTGAAATCAGAGGAATGTAGGGGATGTGGCCTCACCACCAATAGTAGCTAGAGGATGTGCTATACTTCATTGTGTTAGTCATTAGGTTTAAAGTTCTGAGAATACATTATTTTTGTTGAGTTTCAGTTTCTCTCCCATGATTGTGTGTCTGATAACTACTCCTTTTCAAGGTTTTCAGAAAAAAGAAGAAAAAAAAAACACCATTTGCTTTGTCCCTGTGGCTATAAGTCCTTTTTACTTGTAATTTTTATTTATTTTTATTTATTTTTTAAATTTTATTTTTATAGAGATGGGGTTTTACTCTGTCACCCAGGCTGAAGTGCAGTGGTGCAATGACAGCCCACTGCAGCCTCAAACTCCTGGGTTCAAGGGATCGTCCCTCCTCTGCCTCCCAAGTAGCTGAGACTACAGGTGTGCACCACCATGCCTGGCTAATTTTTAAATTTTTTTTTTGTAGAAATGCGGTCTCACCATCTTGCCCAGGGTGGTTTCAAACTCCTGGGCTCAAGTGATTCTCCTGCTTCAGCCTCTCAGAGAGCTCGGATTACAAGGGGGAGCTCCACTATGCTTTTAGTGGAAGGATTTCTCTTCCTCCCCCATTGGCCTACCACTTTTCTTTTCTCTCATTTCCATTTTGTTCTCTCACTTAAATTCCAGCCACACCATTCTGATTTGTGTGGTATGTATGTCAGTGTGGCTTGACATGCCCTTTAATAATTCTCTCAGGCTGTATTTTCTCTGACAGTATTTCTAATATACTATTAATCAGCTCTATTGTTTCTGATGAGCATACTGAGTATAATAGTCCAGAAAAAAATCTATGAACTCTAATTCTGATTGTAATGTTGTGATTTGGATTCTAGGAGTAAGTTGGTTCCGAGTAAGTAGAGGACCACATAGACTGTATAATTTTCAATCTATTTTAGGTCACAAGACCCTGCTAGGTTCTTCCTATGGTAAACAAGCCATCTTACAAAATACGGTATGGAGGAGTTAGATGATGTTTCAGAGCTCATGTTCGTCTGCAATATGCACTTCCAGCAGTTTCTTAGAAGACATGCCATCTTCAGGAGCTCAGCAGGGCTCTCCTTATGTAAGTCAAGGCTGAGATGTTTCAAATTATATGTCAGGCAAATGCTATGCTCTTCACACAAGAGATGAACTGTTGCTTCTCTATGTGTTTTACATTAAAAAAAAAAAAGAAAAAAAAAGAAAATGCCTAAGGTAGCACTTAGGAATAATCGGTTGCAATCTATTACCACTGGCAACATTATAATTTTAGCTATTGAATAGCTCAGGAAAACCACCACAGAATCTAATTGATATCTTTGGGAAAGGTTTGATTACTTGGCTGTTGAGGAGTGTAGTAGTCTGCCTGTTACAGAGTTGCATGTTGAAAGGGCATCTGTCAGCGTGGGTGAGGAGTTCCAGAAACGTGTTCTCTGCTGTCATCCCCACAGGACCTGAGGACCTAAAGGCCTGACTCATGCCACTGATGGCTGCAACATTTATGGGACAGGCTGCATGTCTTTTATTGGGAGACAATTACTGGGGTAGTGCTGAGGCATGACTGAGCCTCTGGGCACAGTAGCTGTCATCCCTACTGCCGAGGTTTGTGAATTAATGATCAGATGGATTCAGCGGGTTGCACAACATTAACTTTACATTGTCAGCACCCCTGTGAGTGTCCAACAGTCTCCCCTTTACATCCTTTCTTTCATTCTCAGTCTGAATTTAGAAGAATAAACACTTTTTAGATAACCTGCTTCCTTAGTTTTAAGCTACTGAAAGAGCCTGAGTAGGGATATTAAGAGGGAGTTCTTGCTTGCGCTCTGGTAGGCTTTGGTGATGACATATTCAGAATGGATTATTCCTTGCCCCCAGCTTCCTCATGATTGACACAGTAAGAGACCCTGTTACTTCCCTGACCATAGTGTCTCGTTACTTAGTGTTGGCGGAATGTCTTCCATGTCACTTCAGTGAACATTTATATATAACCATTTCTTTACCGCATGGTTCTAACACAACTAACAACACTGTCAGCTTTTCCTCGGCATGTGCGTATGTATGTATGTCTGTGTGTGTGTTTGAAATAATTAGCAAATAAGATATCATGCTTATCTACAGTAACACAACAAGAAGTAGAATATGTTTTTTATAATTTTATTTATTTTAGGTTTTAAATTTTTATTTTTAATTTTTATGGGTACATAGTAGGTGTATGTATTTATGGAGTACATGAGATATTTCCATACAGGCATGCAATGTGTAATAAGCACATCATGAAGAATGCGGTATCCATCTCCTCAAGCATTTATCTTTGGTGTTAGAAACAATCCAGTTATACTTTCAGTTATTTTAAAATGTACAATTGAGTTATTGACTATAATCACCCAGTTTTGCTATCAAACAGTAGGTCTTATTCATCTTCCTATGTTTTTTGTGCCCATTAACCTTCCCCCAACCCCTCCACCAACCACCCACCACCCTTCCCAGCCTCTGGTAATCATCCTTTCACTCTCTGTCTTATTTATTTATTTGTTTTAAAGATGGAGTCTTGCTCCATCACCCATGCTGGAGTGCAGTGATGCAATCATAGCTCACTGTAACCTCCAACTCCTAGGCTCAAGTAATCCTCCTGCTCCAGCTTTCCAAAGCACTGGGACCACAGATGTGAGCCATTGCACCTGGCCTAGGAATATGGTTTAATATTCTGGGCTGAAATTAATTTAAGGAGACTGCACATGTGGAGACTGAGTATGTGATAGAAGGAGCAGAGTGAAGGGGTAGCAGGCGGCTTGGCAACCAGGGCTTCCTTGGAAGCCAGCATGCTCTGTTTTATCTTTAATATTCTTGTGACAATTTAAACCATATTATAAGGTATTTTCAAACTTTCTCCTCTTCCCAGTGAAGATTATTTTTGGAGGAAAAGATAGTTTCTCCCCAGTTTTTACCTAATATGTCAATTAAACTGGAGATATTTATATTAGCTCCAAAGAGAGGACATTAGTAACAGTTAGAACCTATATTATTCTGAAGTATTCCATCTAATTTAGAATCTTGGCAATCAGCTAAGCCATTTTTTATTCTCTTTTCCTACTTACAGGTATAATATTGATTCTTAACACCTACTAATTGTGAGACCTTCCAAAATGCTTGTATCCCTTCCTCTGTGTTGCCTTTAGAATGAAAACAACTTACCCAGCTAAAAGAGATAAATAATTAATCGCTTATTCCCAGTACAAGAAAATGACACATATGGCTGAGTAGCAGGGTGCATTAGGTAAAGAGCTGTCAAAGGGTACCCTTTATTCCAAAATGTTAAAGAATGCTATTTTCCCCTACACTTAGAATCAGAGTACCAGTAAGTATTGATAGGAGTAAAACCCATCACAGTGCTAAATAAAAGGAAGTCTAGAGAGGCATAGAATAGAGCCAATTTTTTATTTAAAAAAAAAAAACTAAAATCGATGGAACTACTGTTCTCATAAACAGAAACATAATTAATTGCATTCCTATTTAGATTCTGTTCCCTGATTTAAGTTAATGTTAGTAACCTTTGAGGCCACCCAAATTGGTCTGGAATCCACTTGGCTACTACAAAGCCTGAGCATGAATCTAGCACAGTCCCATGATACAGATCTTCGGGAACTCCTGAGTTAATCCCAAGGGGCTGAGTTAAAATTCATAAGTATACCAGTTTCTATAGACTGGATAAATATTATTTTACACGTACATGTACTAATTTTTAAATGTAGACAGGTACTTTTACAATTGATAAAATACAGACTCATATCATTTTATTCTTAAACATGTATAGCTTTGTTTTCTTTTGTCATTGTGCATTGTGTCAATCAACAGTTTCTAAACATATAGCAAGTGTGGGTTTCCAAAATATTTTTGCCATTTGAAGAGATCCTCATATTCCAGAAGATTAGGACCCACCACAATGTAGAAGATCTGGACCTTGCCAGCAGGAAGGTAGTGCAAGCTACCCTGACACACGGAGTGAGATTTTCCCTGGAGGAAGCATCCTCCTTCAGTGATGGCCGATGGATTTTACAGGAAATGCTGGAGGCCATGGTGGCCCCCACTGCAAAAAAATCCACCACTTTTGCCTCCTATAGAAGCAGCTCTGAGCTACTTCTACTTCTGTGCAAAAGAGACTAAGTAAATACAGATTATGTGGCAGGAATTTTAGAGCTCTGGAAAGGCCCTATTGTCATTTGAAATTCTTCTCACTCACTGAAATTCACTTTAGCTCATGGATTTGATCCCTTTTAAGACAGATGCCCTAGGGAGAGGTTAGCACTTTGCTTTTGTATCATTGTTTATTTCTTTGTGTCAATAGTTGGTTTTAGAACGTTGGGCATTTGAAGTGTATGAATACTATCTGCTAAAAGGGTTAAAAAGAGATTCTAAAACCTGTGAAGGTTCATTTGCTCCACATTTTGTCCACACATTCTGTTCTTCCATAAGTTGAGCCATCGTAGTGAATAGCATTGCCTTTCAACATTTTGAAAGAAAGATTCATTTATACATAAAAATAGAGTCTATGACAGACATACAGTGTTCATCATTGTATGTTATACATTCAACAATATGCTTTAAAGAACAGAATTTTTTTGAAATCTAGAAGAATTTCACTTTATAGAGTCAGAGCATTTTTGTGTAAGAGAGATGTGCTGGAGGAATCCTCTACTGTTATATCTTTTGTTCCACCAATAACTTTATCTCAGAAATTGATTTCCTCTGTGATGGAGAAAAATAGCTTACATTTTTAGTGGAAGAGGTGTATATTTTGTTGGCATTCTATCTCTATTTCTTTTTTCATTCCCAGTAAGTTTTAAAGAGGGTAAACTGCAGCAGTGTCCATGAGAATCATCACTGGGATTCTACGTAGGCTCCACCATGGTGAGAACAGTGTGTCAATCAAGATGTTCTTAGCATTTGGAGCAAGGCAGTTATTAATTGTTTAGGATTAAATTGCACACTTCAGAATGTTTGGCACCCTGGTCACCATATTCCAGGAGTAACTTGTGGTCATTGTGACACCAAATAACACCCCCACCCATTTTCTTACACTACAGAGAAGAGTACCACCCTGGTTGAAATATCACAGTGCAGTCTCTTCCCAAAGACAGAAATGTACTTCCGGACATGCTGGTCAGAGGCCATCTACAGAGCTGAGCTAGCTTTCTTGTGGTGATTACAAAATGGCCACCATATAATTCCTGTCCCAAAAGCCTTGGGACTTTATTCAAGGACTACTTTTAATTACTCTATTTGTGTGCCTGCTGGATACTGGGGTGTTATGTTTGTTCTGTGATGAGAATTCACCAATGCCAAGGCAGAAGCATGAGAATGCTGCTTAATTTTACACAGATGGGGTTAATCTTTGTAGCGCTTTGTGTACAGAACTGGCTTTTCCCTGCTGTTGGGGGCATAAGAGATGAAGCCCTAAGAAATGAATCACTTTTCTTTTCCTTTATTCAAACTTCCCAATCTTTTCAGCTATACTTGGGCTTTCAAAGTGCTACTGATAAGCTGGCAATTTTGTTTTAGAGGCTTGATAGGGAGTGGGAGATTAAATACTGCAAACTGTGAGCAGTAACACTGTCCCTTAGGCAAATAAATGAGAACACTTCCAAAGAGATGTAAAATTGGTTTTCCAGACTTAAGTTCCACAACCCGTTTAATAGAGCTTGTGAAAATATACTCTAATTGCTCTGTGGCACATTTTACATCGCAAAGATTCTACTTCAAACCCTTTATGACTCCCTTGTTCTACAGGTATATGTTTATGTTATGACAGATACCTCTAATTAGCTAAACAAGAAAAACCAACCAAATAATTCCCCACATGGAAATTAAGGCTTTTGGACCAAGATCTTAATGCCAGCCCTCTGTTTTGTTCCTAAGTCTCCCTACAGGCCCATGTATGTTCATAAATACACATAAGCAGTGATTGTCTGAAACCTGGTTCATGGAGACGTCAGAGTTCCAGAGTCTGTGAATTCACAGTGGGAATGGGAGATTGGAGCTTCTATTGCACAGGCCCAGCACAGTCTGTCAGCAGATTGTAAAGGGGGCATCCGGGCCTTTGAGCCTTCTCTGAGACACCCACAGAAGGTTGTAGCTTGGAGCAGCACAATGAATCAGTAACAGAGAACTCAGGTGTTAGGAGGCATTATTGCCAGCTGCCTAGAGTTTTCTGTTACTGAGATCTATGGGAGCAGTGAGAAGCAGTGGACACTTCTATTCTTGTTCAGCCACAGAGGATTAGAGCAAAATAACCTCCCTTTGTCAGTGAACATTGCTTGGTTATTCCTATCTGTGAGTCCTTTCAGAGCTCACATCTCTAACTCTCCTTGTTCATCTCTTTCTAGGGGATAATAATTCCATGTCAAATGCTTGAGTCCTACAAGTCAACTCCTCAATTCCTAGACCAGTCTATGACCAGCAGTAGTAGGAATGACTCCAGCAAGGATTCTGAAGGAAGAGATTTTTTGTCTGAATTCAGGCACTGTGGATTCTGCCATTTAGGCCACCTATGAATGCTTCACATAGGGCTGGATAAGCTGGGTTCAGAAAGGCCAAATGTGCACCTTATATAGGAAAAGAAAACAGAAATGGATAATTAGGGTTTCTATTTGTGTTGCTAATATCTTCAGGGACTGAAAAATCTCCAAGGCCCCCTCCAGGACTAAAGTTGTGCTATTCTAAATTACATCCAGTCACTGTTCCTGTAAGCAGTCATTTCATATTTTCCCATTTTTTCCTCACTTCTAGGCACTAATTCCCTGATCTCACATAATGTCAAATAACAGGTTTGTGGATATGGAAGTGCAACCACATTAACTGAATTTGGTCCTGGAATTGCCAATCTGCTCACATTGCATTGTTTTAGTTCAGTAGGCAGAGCTTCACATCAGCTAACTTTGAAATGACTTTGATTTTCAGGGCTCAAAAATAAACAAAAAGAGGCAACAGGGCAGCTGTCTGAGGTGCAACAGTTCACAGTAGAGGGAGAGGAAGTTAGAAAAGTTCCCTGAGAAGGAAGTGTCGGCAAGTGTTATGACTGAGGTATTGAGGGAGAAAGTCTCCACCAATGTATCCAGGTTTATTTCTTTCTCCAATTCAACTTCAGATTTGAGTACAGTCTTTCCTCTCTCTCCCTGTCTCTCTGTCTCTGGGATATCTATGTATCTATGGAGATACAGATTTGATTTATATACATATCAATCTATAAAATATACATATTGTCCTGAGTGTTTTGATAATAATCTCTGTAGATAATTTATATAGTTTATGAATATATATATAAACTTTTGTTAGTAGAAAATTCCCACATCAATAGGTATATTTATCTACACATATAGGCCTTTTTTTTTTCCTTCTTAAGAATGCCAAGGGTTATGTTTTCTTCCTTTTCTTTTTGAGCATGAAAGGGTCACCCTGGATACCTGCCCTTTCTCTTCAAACACCATAGAAGTTGAACACTGAATCAGCTGTCTCTGCAGTGCTAATGTTGACTTCACTTCCTTTTGACCTACTGGCATTTCCTAAATGTGTCATCATTTTCTAATTTCCTGTGTTCTTGTTCGCAGGTTTAATTTTTAATGTGGGGCTCTCTATGATCTATCTGACTCCTGCATTTCTTTTGAATCCCAGACCCCACTTCTTTTCTCCTGCCTCTGAGCCTTAAGTTCTAACCTACAGTTTTTCCGTTCTCTTTTTGCATTTTCTTTCTCTTTTGTTTCTCCTGTCTAGAGTAACCACTCCTCTGAATTTAACAGGCCCCCTTCCATTAAGCTGCAAGATACAGCCCAAGGATCTCCTCTGGCAGATAAGTCTGTCTTACCTCCCAGAGAGGCAATGTCATCCTTTTTTGTGCTAATGTGGTCTGTTGTATATTTGCTGATTATAACACTTCTCTGGCTACATCATAATATGTTTTCAAGCTTGCCTCCCTTTCCAGACTTACCATCCTGAGGACAATATACTTTATTCAGTAGTGTCCCCATATGTATCCCCCACTTGGGTTATGTGTGGCACAGAGTAGCTGTGTTTTGAAGCAAAGTGACTAGAGAAGAGACCAGCACCTCACACTGATTCCTATGTCAGCATTGAAGGATACATTATTTTACCTTTATGGGAGACCTCATTAATGGCTGTTACTCTCAGTCGATATGACAAGAATACCTAAAGTTTACATCAGGCATTTTGAGCTATTCTGTGGGTTTATAAGGAAGATTTTATATACATGCTACAAAATCAATATAGCTTCTTGTTTTCCTATTGCCATAACTCACCTTACATCGGATTTCAGATTTAGTAAGTATGGCCTTGATCTTTAGTTTCAGTGGTAGGATCTAAGAAGAAAATCCTGATTTGATGTGAACCTAATATTTTCCTAAATATCTTATTTTCAGAATTTCCTCCTATTAAACTAAGTGCTTAAAAACTATAGTAATATCTTAATTTCCAATAATCAGTGAGACAAGTTCAAACTAACCCACCCAAACAAACTGTAAATTCCATTGTGGCAGAAAGGTAGGCTGTTCTTGGGGACACAGGTCTGGAACTCCATGTTTTCTGATTCCTTGATCATGGTTCCAGTAATATATGTTGACTCTATGATCTAGAATGTACCGTCAGGTGTAGAAGGAAAATATGAGAAGTGCTGCAGTGTGGTAGATACCCTGTTTAAGTAATGCTGTCCCCCTTCAGCTTGACAGAAAGAGAAAAGGAAAAAAATGCTGAGAAAACAAAAAAAAAAATCGTGAATAACAGGGGCATTAGTTGAATTATTTTATGTGCCACACAATGTAATAAGTGTCATACAGGTATTAATGAAATTGATTTTTTACAGAAAGCTAAGAAATAGGTGGTACTGTGTATGATTCCCATTTCATTCATAGAAAGGCTGAGGCTTAGAAATATTAAGTAACTAATAGTCCAGTGCAAGACAGCCAGCAATGGCACCAAGCCACTGAATGCAAGGCCCTTTCTCTTGACCACCATGTTAAGCCGCTTCTCAGGATTGGAGAATACCCAAAAGGCATCTTAGGGATTTTAAGAGTTAATTACACCCTGAGCACACCTAGAGACAGCAAGAGGTCAATGGACGTTCCTCTCACACCTGGAGTAAGAGAGGATTTGATTTTGCCGGGAGCTAGAAGAGAAACTATGTGAACTCACCTTCTGGGAGCCTGGCTTGGTCCTCAGGCAACTTCAAGCTTCAGAGCTCGGAGGGCATCCAGAGCATGGCCTGCACAGGATCAGGGTGGACTAATGGGCAGGAAATGGCCAAGCCTTCTCCCTTAGACCTGACTATCTAAAAATGCCATGTCAATTGTATTCTCAACAAGGGTCCAGGCTGCCACCCCAAAGACTCACCACTCAATAAAATATGCTGTATATATACATGCCGAAGTAAATCAATATACCAACCTTTGATATGCTTTCTCCTGCATTCACCTAAAAATTCTAGCAAATGATTACATGTTCATTTCCTTACTGGATTTGAAACTTGCCTTTTTGTTCCTCTAGTTATGTATGCTTTTGAATTGCAACTGCTCAGCATCTTTTAAAGTTTGTAAAGCACCATGAAAAATCATTGAAATGAAAAGCACTAAAATATGTAAATTGTTGCTATTGTTCTTAAGTGCTTCTTAACATAGGATATGATCATTTCTAAGACAAAGTATGATTTCTTTCATGTCCACAGTGATTATGTTTACAGCATGGGATCAGTCTTCAATATATGAGCAGTATTACTTTTGTAAAGTTAAAGAAAAGTTGCTTTAAACTTTTGAAATTTATATTGCATTTTCATTAACCTTTTTTTCTCATGCCTTTATTTTTATTCTCTATTTTTGAAGAAAATGATCAGTTTGCAGAAATTGCAAAGGCATGCTGTAGTAAAATTGTCAGTAAATAACTATGAATTAGGCACTGCATTATAAACTCTGATTTTAAAAAGCAGTTTAATTTTCTTTTAGTGTGAAATATAACAAATATTGATTTGGGAGGGATTGCACTCTGCTATGTAGTATATGAGCAAAGAGTTTCAAAGTTAGTTTTTTAATAGAGACAGATTAGAAACTAGCACATGGAGGCACATCTTCAGTTTGCAGGAAATTTATTTTTCAGAAGTCTGTGTCATGCTTAAGACAATTAAGTCTTCTCCCTCCTACCCCACCCCTATCTCCTGCTATACCTGTGAAAAATAATTTGTTAAGCTTTGCTTTTTAGTTTTAAAATTTTTAAATAGAGACAGGGTCATCTTGCTCTGGTGCCCAGGCTGCAGTGCAGTGGTGCAATCATAGCTCCCTGCAACCTAGAGCTCCTAGACTCAAGTGATCCTCCTACCTCAGCTAGGACTACAGGCATGCACCACCACACCGGGCTAATTTTTTAAAATTATTGTTTGTAGAGACAGGGTATTGCTATGTTGCACAGGCTGCTATTTTTTATTTTTAATGAAAAATTATTAATTAGATATATTTATGGGGTACAGTGTAATTTTCAATATATGTATGTACTGTAGAATAATCAAATAAGCATAATTAACACATTAGTCATCTGAAATACTATCATTTTTTTGTGATGAGAACATTTAAAATCCACTCTTTTAGCTTTTTGGAAATATACATTATTATTAACCATAGTTGCCATCTGTCCAATAGAACACCAGAAGTCATTCCTCCCATCTAACTAAAACTTCGTACATTTTCACCAGTGTCTTTCCTTTCTCCATTGACTCTCCTTTTCCCCTTCCTCCCGTCAGCCTCTGGTAATCACTGTTCTACTCTCAATCTCTGAAAGTTTGATTTTTTACACCCCACACATAAGTGAGATTCTGTGATATTTGTCTTTCTGTCCCTGGCTTATTTCACTTAATGTAAGGTTCATCCATGTTGTCACAAATGACAGAATTTCCTTTAAAAACAGAATGCTATTATCATGGTGGCCAAACAATAAGAAAATTAATATTCTTCCTCTTTGTCTTTAGAAATTAGAAACAGTCTAATGCAGTTCTGAAATCCTACAGCCTCCAAAACCAGGAAATTTCGTTGATAGTGTATTTCCTGATGTCTGCTATTGGAAGCATAATGATCATTCTCTCAGGAATCCCTCGGTCAGAGTTGCAACTGATTATATGAATCAATAAATGCTTCTTGACCTGTGGTCAGTGTAAAAGCAAGGTTCTAGGGATATAAGGTTGTCTGCCCAGAATGGAGCTGTAAGCATGGATACAGAAGATCCTGGAACAACAGGCAGGTGAAGGAGAAAGAAGCTACTGAGAGTTACAAAGCATGCAGTAGAGTGGGATTTATGGACTGGCAGGGAACTTTAAAATAAAAGGTTATGCTTGACTTGGCTGTCACCTTTAAGGAAAGAAAATTAGGTTTTTCAAAAAATATTATGCAAATTAAAAAATGACCTAACCAGCCTTTATGGATAAATCTATACTATTGTTCTAAGTCAGGTTCTGATGTGCTGGTATACAGATAAAATACAGATCAATTTACTCGTTGAATGATTGGCGACCATACTAATTGGGATTCATAACTGTCACCCACCATTTATGCTATTTGAGAGCAATTCTGCACGTAGGTAATTATAGTAGATTGCCCCTGTGCCAAGAAGACATTGCATAAATCCTTCAGCTGAGATACGACTGACAAGCTGTGAGTAATAGAGTGCACCTTGGAAAAGATTTATATTTGAGGCCCAGTTAGCTGGAGTGCTTTATACTTTTCATTTCTCAATAACTTGACTGGAACTAAGACAGTCAGTTATTTCCCAAATTCTCCGTTTTCATGATAGGATAATCAATAAAGAGCAACTATTAATTCAGTGTCGCTCTGATATACTAGACTAGACAGTTTTACTATGTTATTGATTACTTCTGTAATTTACCACTGGGGGTAGACACTCTGAAGGTCATTAGACATAGGTTGCTTCTTAGTGATGCAAGTTCACTTGTGGTAAGCAGAGGTTTTGTTGCCATGATCAGCTGGACTCTTTGATTCCCTATGATGCATGGAGCAAAGAATAGCACAATTTCATCAATCATACATCACATTGCATAGCCTACAATCAAAGGGCAAGGTGGTGAGGTGGCTCTTTCTGTGCAGATGGAGTTCTCAGAATGAAGCCCCAGAAGGGCTACTTGCCCCTATCCTCTCATATCATAGGACTTTGGGTAGCCCCCAGCTGTTTCCCTGCACCTACTCTCTCGGAGAGGTTTTCCATTACCATCAGGCATCATTCAAGGAGTTCTCAAGAAATAAAGTAATCTATGTGATACAAGTTTCAAATATAGTCCTCAAAGACATCCTGGACAACTGTTCTTTCCAAACTCCCATGATTTATCATAGGATATTTCAGCCAAGACATCTTCTGATTTCTAAAAAGAAATATCTGTCAGCAGAATTTGTGCACTTTGTAAATTATCTGCTTTCCCCCAATAACATGTTGCTGTGTTAGCATTAACTTGCTGACCCTACGCTTTCTCCCCAAGATTTGAGATGTTGGAATAATTAGCAAACCCTTCATCTTTATTTTTTTTTTTTATCTAGGCCATGCTTCACCCTGCAAGACTCTCTCCTTTATCCCATTCCATAAATATCTACCACACATATTCTATGTGGCTTTCCTTGCATAGAATGTCAGGAAACACTGTCTATACCCTTGTTTTAATAAGTTGTTGTCCTTTCAAACCTTTGCACTTATATCACAGATCGGATCTACTGATTCCTTTTGAATTCCTCAATAGGTACCTCCCTGCCAATCACCTAAGCACCTAAAGCCCAACTATCCCACTTTCTTAGAGATACTCCTCTTAATTTAGATACCTAGTCCTAAGCTTCTAAGCCTCTAATATATAGTAGACCTTTTGCTATATGTTAGACCCTTTGCTATGTATTTTGTAAGATTGGAGGGGTCTGATTTGTTGAGGAGAGGGGAATAAACAAATCAGACTCCTCCAATCCTACAAAATGCTACCTTTCATTATATGCAACAATAGCATTTTTAGGAAGTGATGTGTTTGTAATATTTTGTTATATTTGACCTTGCCATTTTTAACATGCCTTTATAAAAATAATTTCTTATGTGGATTGGTTTTTCAAATGGACCTTGATAACTCCAAACATTTTATTTTAAACTTTAGTATAGTGTTTGGTTCATATCTACTAGGAATAAATTAATTAGTGCCACAGATGGACCACCAAAATTTGAGACTTTTTGGGATATTTTTTGTACCTTTTTTTTAAAGAATATGAAAGTTATTTATGAGAAAAAAATAAAGATGTAAACACACACACACACACACACACACACACCACACACACTCACAAAGGCCACCTATAACCATATTAATGACATATCTATGTTAACAAAACCATTGTGTGAGGTTAGAGGCAGAAGGGGTGCATGGTCAAAGCCACAGTTAAAAGAGCAACAGAAGGAGAAAATATAGTCCTGGAAGACTAGAATTAAGTCATTCAGAAAAAACTAATACAATGTTTTTATTTATTTATTTATTTTTTAGACAGAGTCTTGCTCTCTTGCCCAGGCTGGAGTGTAGTGGCGTGATCTCAGCTCACTACAAGCTCCGCCTCCTGGGTTCAAGTGATTCTGCTGCCTCAGCCTCCCGAGTAGCTGGGACTACAGGCGCGTGCCACCACGTCCAGCTAATTTTTTGTATTTTTAGTAGAGACAGGGTTTCACCACGTTAACCAGGATGGTCTCAATCTCCTGACCTCGCGATCCACCCTCCTCAGCCTCCCAAAGTGCTGGGATTACAGGCGTGAGCCACCGGGCATGCCCACAAGATTTTTTAAACAATTCATAAGCATATGTTTTTATAGGTCCATTTAGATATACCTAGATTCTCTATGTAATTGAAATAAACACATTTTTATAGACCATAGACCATTATCTTTTTATGAAAAAAGATAAATTGTCTGGAAAGACAACTTTCCAGATAAGCTGTCTGGAAAGACAACTTTCCAGATAAGCTGTCTGGAAAGACAACTTATTTGGTTTAAGTATTAGAAATCTTTGTACTTATAAATATATGCAACCAGATGTTACAGTTGATAAAGATGCATGAAAAATGGCCAAACATAATATTTAAGGATTTTACTAAGGAAGGTTTAAGGGATATAAATTTCATTTCTCTTCCATTAATATATACTATTTATATTATAAACTTTTTTAAAAAAAATGAGATGAGTTTAACTTACATTTTCACTTCTGTGCCTTCTAGAAAATAGAATCATATGGAGAAGTCAAAACTTTGTCACAGAATTAATGTATGCCCCAGGTTACCTGCATTATTCATAGTAAGGTTAATCTTTGGGATAATTATTGTCCCACTTAACAAACATTCACAGTGGTAAATTACATAGCACCCTAAAGCTACAGAAATACAGGACAATTAATGAAATGCAAAGGTATCTGATCTGATTCTAGTGCTGACCTCTTAAAAGTAAAATCATTGCTATTATTCCTGTTAAGAGAATTTTCACTTCATGGAATGGGCCTGTGCCTCCAAGAATAACATGGAGCTGTTCTCAAGTTGTTTCACTTTTTTTGAAAGTTAACCTTTTGATATCATGGATAAAAGTTAACATTTGTAAAACTCAAGCTGTTAGCCCAAATGCAACCTTGCCTCCTATGTTAGTACATTACGTCAATGACAAATGAGCCATAAGTTTCAACTTTACAGTAGTAGTAGATACCTTGACCTTTGAGACCTCACTCAAGTCATACCATGGGTGTTCTGATATTTTGGTGGTGTTTGCAGTCATGTGCAAAGAAAAGGCTATGTTTTAAGTTGTATAGGTCTTAATCAGTACAGATTTCTGTTCCTATTCAAATATAAACTTTATAAAAATTTTCAGAAGTTATTCAGCAAAAGAATTAAGAATTCAAATGATGCCGTTTTTAATGAAATTATAAAATTGAAGGAGATCTGCAGATGTCTCCTGAATCCTTGGAAATACGACCAAGTCATAGTGCAGTCATTAATGGATTTTGCATGGGTAAGTTTCAAGTCTGAAACTTTTCCTTTGTTAAGAAGTCCAGTTAATCAATTGCATTAAATTAAAAGATGAATGAGCTCTAGAGATCTGCTGAATAGCATTGTGCCCATCGTTAACAATACTATATTGTGCATTTAAAATTTTGTTAGGAGGGTAGATAATATGTTAAGTGTTCTTACTATAATTTTATAAAAGGTAAATAAATAAATGAAAATAATATACTGCCAATGGAATTTGAAATAAAAATTTAAAAAGAGTATTGATAGATTTTATATTATGTCCAAGGAAAACTATTTTAAGTGGACTTAAATTTGGGAAAGGAAAGGAAGAATGATACAAAGACATACTGTAAGTATTTTTATCATTATTTATCATTAAATATATTAAGATATTCTCCATAAGCATTATTACCAAAAAAATTCTCTTTTTGGGCATCTTGTTGAAACAGTCCCGTAAAATAGTATTTCATGTGACTGGCTTCATTCTCATGAAACTAAACCACATATATTTAACTATCTCCTTAAGCTTAGCTTAAAACCAAATATATATAATTGTTACTGGTGGCCAAAGAAATCAGTTCATTTTGGGTCACTCATTTTAGCTGAGTGGACATTCCTAATGGATTAAAAAACAAAACACAGTGCTTTAAAATGCACTTAATTTTTTTTTTTCCCCCGCGGTGGTGGTGACTCTGGGCTTCTTCTGCAGTGCTTTAAGCTAAGCTCCCCAGAACTAGTGTTGATATTGTTTCTTTAACATTAATCTTCAGTGACATAATTATTTCTTTTTAAATAATCAGTATGCTAAGCATTATAGGACTGGGAAGCTACTGACTGAAAAGAGATGTGCCGTAATGAAGGTACTCCTTTTTTTAGATAATTTCGGCTGCTTATCAGAACAGAAGCAGCTGTATTTTGGACTTACTTAGAGTTGCTATTTAATGCACCATGAAAAAGCAACAAGTGCTCCACCAGAAAAATCATGTTTTGTTGAAAGAAGTAAAGCAAAATGAGTTTCAGCTCTATACCACGGAAACTCACAAAAGTAGGGGAAAGATCAACTTGAGAGTATATTTTTCGGTGTTCGAAGTCAGTTAAAAAAGCAAATTTGTACTTTGAACTTAGTGTCTATTGCCTCAGAGTAAAAATATTTTTAGAATCCTTATCAGTCAGAAAATTCTCTTCTTCAAACAAAATGAACTGGAATGTAGAGCTAAAATAACCCCATTTTAGTTTGTGGAATGGCTGTTGAGCCTTTATTTTTACAAGCAAATGGCAAACGCTTGCTCCAATGTATAGCTGATGCAAATTAAGCACATACTCTGTTTCATAAATGAAGGGGGAATTATTGGAAACACTCTTGCACTGATCAGTAAAAACCGATTACCATCAAAGAAGGGCCTGATTACTAACCACCATCTTAGTGTTTAGCTGTACCGTCTGGCCGGCTCAGAGGGGAAAATTTGCTGAGCTTAAAAAATGTTTATTCTGACTTTCAACTCATGCATGTATAGAACACAGATGAGGAAACATCTGATGTCCTTTGGATTCTTGTTGTTAAACAAACGTTAACTCATCTTCAAGCAAAAATTTAGTCGTTTTTCTTTTTTCCCCCTCACTGATTTGGTTTCTTAAGCTATTGAGTTACAAGCACTATGGAAATAAGCACTAAAAAAAAACCTAAGGGTGATTAGAGCCCTTAAAAATATCTGAAGGATAATGCTGACCTCATGTTTTTTCACATACACTTTGATCTAGGTGGAATTTTATTATTGTAATTTAACTCATGTGGCGTGGAGGCCACATTCAAGGCACAGACCTGAGTGCTTACTGGAGACAGATGAACTCAGGACTTGCCTGTGCCTGGCTGCAGCACTTTTGCTCTAACTCATGCCTTGTCTATGGATGGCACTGCTTTTCCCACCGTTTAGTGTTGGTTAATTATTGCCAACCTGTAGAGCAAATGACTCTGCTTAACAGTCATTTTCCCTGAAAACCCTTCCTTGATTATTCAAGATTAAGTCCTTAGTGTCACAAGTTTACCCATTCCATAGCACGTACAGTTGTCATCATGATTTCTTATTCGATTACCAATCTTACCTCCCCAAGCCTGTAAACATAATTCAGTGACTGCATTTTTATTCACCACTGTATTCCAGGTCCTAAAACTAACCCTGACACATACCGGCCACTCGGTAAATATGGGTTGAATGAATGAATGAACAAATGGACAGAGAAATGAATGAGACACCTTCTCTGTCCTCATTTCAGTTTAAATTTAGGAACAAGGCATGAGTAAAAGTGTGAGGAGACAAAGCAGAGGAAGGCAAGTGCTGAAAGTTATGATCGCGTGCAGTGATGGCCATTAAGATGATCTTCGTACAGGAATTCATACAGGAATTTTTTTAAAGATAAATGCTGGCTTATGCAGGCTCTGAAGACTTATTTTTTATATCCATTCTTAATTAAACTAATGTTGAAAATAGTACACATTTATGGTAAAAAGCCTTCAGTCCTCTTTGGGGGTCATTTATTTGCTTGCTCTCTGGGAAGCTTCTTTCATAAAAGGATGCCCTTTTACTAGATCCCAACTGGGAGCTTTATGGGATTATTTTTTTCCTACTTAACAAAAGTGGGATTTAAACTCTAATTTCCAAAAACATAGTGGCTAGCTAAAATTGGTATTGATTTAATGTTCTGGGTCAATTTTAAGTGATAAATTAACATTAGCAAAAAAAGAAGTTTCTAAATTCTGTAAATCACATGGGATTTTTCATCGGCTCATTCCCTTACAATCTTTTTCTCAGGGATAAGGTTTTCTAAGTCAATATTTTCCCAAATGCATGCCCTTTTGTCTTCCATTAAATATGGTAGTCTTTGTTTCTTCAATGGCCATGTGAGAACAGAAGGAAAATTTCTTCTCAGAGAAGACAGAGCAAAGTAATATTCTTGCCAAAAGTTATCACAGTTTAATAGCAAGAAGGAATGTACACGTCTCTAAACAAAATGTGCAATGCTTTCTGATGCTGACACCATTTATTTAGTCTTATTAAATAGCTGGTAAAATGATCCAAGTTTCAGAGAAACACAAGCTGTGAGTGGCTGCTGCACGTGACAAAAAAAAAAAAAAAGACAGCCCCAAAAAGCAGCAGGGAGAAGATGTGCGCAGAGTCTGGGAGGATCACCTTTCTCCACAGCTTTCCCTTCCAAACCTCCAAACCCAGGCACTGCTTTCCTCTTGCACTCCTCTTCTCCTGATATCCATTCATTCACCTTATTTCTACACTCTTACCCCTTCCATATTTTTAATTAACTTTTCTCTTTGTGCTTGCACACTTGCTTTGCTTTGCTTTCAATCTATAGTTATTTTATGGGTGGCTTGGCACCTCAACCAGATGGGAATTAAGTGGAAGGCAGAAGTTGGCTTGCACACACAACCTCTAAATAAATGCAGGCCTGGGAAGGATGATTCATGCTTTACCTGTATTCTTTCAGCTGCAGTCAGTGTTTTTCCAATCTTGGTAGGCACCAGCATCACCTGGAAAATTGTTAAAGCAAAACATGCTTTGACTTGACTCCAGACATACTGGGGCTTAAATCTCTGTATTTATTTGCCAAGTAGTTCAAAATTTAGTAGTTGGGGGAATGGGATCACCAACCATTATGGTTTGCCAAGGAACGAAGGATTTCCTGAGCTGTGTGCTAAAGCCTGAATACTTCTGAGTAAATTGAGACATTTAGTTACCCTATTTAGGGTTGAAGATGAGGGCCAAAATAGTGCATGCATCTGTCTGCTTTCCATCTTTCCATCCTAATTATTCTAAAAAACCATACAACCCCCACTTTTATGGGTATAAAATAGTTATGTTACTTATCTATTTTTATTTTTGCATATTTTTTAGTTATTGCGTGGTTTATTACATATAATGAGAGCAACAATCTCATAACATTGGTTTTAGAATTAAATGAGATAAAATATGTAAAGCACTTAATGTAATGCCTGATACTAAGTGTTCAATGAATGTTACATATTATTTCTCTTTAGGTCCAAAGGTATTTATTTTCTTCTTGGCTTCCTGGAATACTAATCTTTGGTAAAGGAAGTTTCTCACTGGTCTCCTAAGCCGGCAGTGGTCTGAGGCATGCCACCATTTCTTTGAGCTGTGATGTGTTATATCATCTTCTTCCAAGACAGGCCCTCTTAGCTAGTGTGCTAACTGGACTTTCTCTCTCTGACTCAAAGGGGCTGTGCCTCAGAAGCTTTGTGGAGGTAGAAAGGCTTATCCACACTTCCCATGATAGGAGAGGGATTCTACCCACCTTCTTTCTGGATTCTTCTATGGACTGTAATGATTTCTTCCTCAGTAGTGTCTATTCCCAGACCCAGCAACTGCTTTTTGAAATTTGCTTGCAGACATCAACCCTGCAACTCTCTATCTAGTTCTCAGCACTTCAACTTAAGGCTAATATTAGACCAAGACCCACTTCCTCTAGAAATAAATCCTTTTCTCCCCCATACTTTCTTGGTCAAATAAGGTTACAGACTTATTTGGCACTTACTTAAGTAGTTTTTTTTTTCATCCTTAGGATGGTTCTCAATTTGTTGACTGATGAAATCATAAAACGTAACGTAACCCTCTAGGTAGCAGAGGATGTGCTTTGTAACATCATCCAGCACTCCTTGTTGCATTATCCTACAGTCTCAGTAATCTGCATTGTCTCACAGATCAAGCCATTTGCTCATTCAGTCTGTTCTGTGCCAAACATATTGATAACACATACACTGAAGGACTGCTGGCATTGCCCCTCCCCAGAATAAGCAAACAAGTCATCTTTAAAAGCAAGTTGTTTCAGCCACTTTGATAGAAATTAAGTTGCATACAAGGTCACAAAGTACATCAGTGAACTAACTGGAAACACAACCCAACAAGGCCCACTCCCAAGCCTGAGCACTTTACTGGATCACGCTTCCTTCCTCGGTGAAAGGCTTCCCACGGCAGGAAGAACCGGAGAGCAAGCCTCTAAATTATACATGACTGTTTGTCTCATTTTCACTCCGTGGCTAATTGAAGACACAGGGGAGTGCTGCTTTTTTGGCTTCATCTCTCATCGCATCTCATTTGTCTCACACGTGTCGGGGAGTGCACTCTGCAGGTTAGCTTTATGAAGGGTTGAATGGAATTTGGTGAGCTTTGAGGAGTCCCAGGATTACAAGTTCTTTGTCTTGGTTCACAACAAGCTGTGCAGTCCCCTTTTGTTTGTTTCCTCATTTGCCATTTTAAAATAAAGTAAATACCTAATGCTAGATGACGAGTTAGTGGGTGCAGTGCACCAGCATGGCACATGTATACATATGTAACTAACCTGCACAATGTGCACATGTACCCTAAAACTTAAAGTATAATAATAATAAAAAAAGTCAAGCATAGGAGATCCACAGTTGATAGGAAAGGAATGTGAATCACTAAAGAGAAACCATCATAATATTTAAATGACCAAATAAGGAACATGAAAATGTTTCTTCTCCTATAAATTTTAAGCCTGTGGGGAATCAAACTTAGATTAGTTTTAATAACAAAAGTTCAGAGTTCATTGTACCTTGTTCTGCCTGCTGAAGATTAGCACTGTGGTGGGAGTGTATATCCAGGTTGCCAAAACCACAGTTCTGCTTGGTTCAGTGACTCACAAATTATAATTTTTGAAGCGTTTGGAAGAAGAATTTCCATATCATATCTGACAATATGCTTTTGGCCCATAGCCCTTAATGCATTACCTTTTATGTAGTATAGGCTCAGTGCACTTTTGAGAATTAAGCAACAAAAATAGTAATAAAATGTCACTGATGATAAAGAAAAGTAATGGCATCAACTAATATTAGATAACTGTAGGATGATTTATTGCTTCTGTATGCATTTTTTGTTCATATCTATGAAGATATCGGCATTGGTTAGGTTTACAGATGTCTGTGAGAAAACACATCACCCTCTGTCAGGAAGGGTCATTGACTATTAAATTGAACAATAGACCTAAGTGTGCTCACTTGGGTTTGCAACAGCTAAAGCCCTGTTGTCTCCTGCTTGGTCACTCCTACCTTGTATTAAATATGGATTTCATGCATTACATGGAGTTTTCAAGGATAGAAAGAAGGATTTCAGTGGGACAATCTAACTTTGGACATCTTGTGATGAGCAGAGAGGCATCATTGAGAGGAAGAGTTTTAAAAACAGGTGTACTTCAGAAATATTAAAAGGCGATATATACACAAGGAAGAGAAACAAGAAAAAAAGAAGTTTGGTTAGGAAAGTCCTATAATTTTTTACGTGGAAAGAAATCAAAGGCAAAGCAAATGGAAGGATGCTGTCCTGATAGAAGCTGGGGTGTGGAGGAAGAGTAATGAAATTCAGAATGTTGGTCCTGCACAGGGTCTTGCCAGACACATCCTTATCCTCGGTCCTCAGATGAAGAGCCCTGTCTCCTGGAGCCTGAGGGCCAAGTGCCCAGATGCACTATCATTCTAAGGAATTGTTCTGGTCAGAATCTGGAGTTTTCAACTCCCTTCTGTGGTCCATTTTTATTATGGATGCTGCTTTGAAGGATGGATAAAGTGCTAGGAAAAGTTGTTATCATCTAAAAAACCAGAATTCTTTCTACTCAAAGGTCTTGTTCTCTACCATGTTCCCGGTGGGACATTTTCTCTGTAGTTTTTTCCAATATATAGTAGGTTATGACAGGACACTGCTTATCCTCACAAGGAAGGCACTTCTGTTAAGAATTCAGCAAAAAGAAAAAAGAAAAACTAGGAGAGAATAAGAAATGGAGATTGTTTAAAGAAAAAGCAAAATGCCACTCTAGTTAGTAATACTGCCACTTAATGACAGAATTAGTAAAAGTCATGAATAAAGCCTGCATGATGGATTCACTTTTTCAGGAACTCTCTTTAATAATACAATGTTATATTCTGAGTAACAACTTTACGTATAAATTAAATAAGTTAACATGAAGGCATATATGTCATAATCTTAGAGATGGTTCATCAATAAGCATCTCAGAGACCCCATTGAGACATATCCTATTCTGGGCTCTGGAAATTGATGATGAAAAAGACAGGGAATGTCTATTCAGCTTCAGTATGCAGCTGATTTTTTTTTTGATGTAGCTTACGTACCCCAAAATCTTTCCAAGTAGATTTAAAATGGTCCATTCCTCATCCTTCTGCCTCACTCAGTCTTATGGTATGTGACTGTAGGGGTTCCTGTGTAGTTTTAAGTTGCTTCTCTGCAAAATTCCTTAGCTAATCAGTACTTGAGCCCATGGTTTTCTCACCTACGTTTCACGGGTTCAGTCTATGCCCTTTGATTTGGCAACTCCTTTTCAAAATATTATCTGTGATTTTCATAGCCATCAAACCGTTACCACTCCTGCCTCACCCACTAGGGTCTCTGCTGTTTAGACTTTAATAACAAGCATTGAGTCTTACAAGAGATTGCCATTGGCTATACTGGCATCAGATTCATCAAAAAGGAATGGGATGAAAGTACAACTTGCCAGCAGAGCAACTTAAAATCTTCTTTTAAGGGAGAGATTTTATAGCAGTACGTAGTGCCCAATAGACATCATTTTGCCATGCAGCAGACAGTTCAGGTGTAAGAAGACATGTTGAGATCAGACAGTCAGAAGAACTGCTTTGGCTTAGATGCCTCATGCCTCCAATGGAACCAATACTTCTGACAGATCCGTGGGCATAGCTGCCATTGTATATGACATGGGGCATGCCAGTTAGAAAAGTCACCACATTCAGGGACACTCAAAACTATGAAGACTGTTCCAGATATGTATAGACCAATTTGCCAGCCAGGTGTCGTTTTTCCTGTAGGCACTATTCCTAAGTAACGCAGGTGGCCAGGAGAGTAGAACTGGAACATTCAATGGAGGTTAGGTCTTCAAGAAGAGGGAATCATTCACTGGAGCTCAAGTCTTCAAGAAGAGTGTAGTCTTTGCCTACAATCCTGGATTAATGAACACTTCCATTCTGTTTCACTTCTCCTTAGAGCTATTTTTAAGAACACTGGAATATTAGGGACCATATCACAAAGTATCTTATATTTTTAACTTGATCAGGAGATAAGTTATGCTAATATTATGCACTTTACTTCCAGCTCTCCTTCGTGTATTATTTTTACCAAAATCCTAGACACTAATGACACACTTAATGACAGAATTAGTAAAAGTCGTGTATAAAGGCTGCATGATGGATTAACTTTCTCAGGAACTCTCTTTAATAATACCATGTTATATTCTGAGTAACATCTTGATGTATGAATTAAATAAGTTAACACAAAGGCATATGTGTCATAATCTTATTTGGAGCTGGTTCATCGGTAAGCATTTCAGAGACCCCAGTGAGACATATCCTGTTCTGGGCTCTGGAAATTGATGATGAAAAAGACAGGGAAAGTATCTTCTGTAAGGGGCCTGTACTTGATTGGGGGAGACCATCAATTGGTTTAAAAAGCTAGTAATCTAATTTCAGATACAGTCAAGTATTGAAGCAGACAGGGCATGAGGAGTGGGGCTTCAGGAAAGTCTTCTTTTACCAGAGAGCTCAGCCAAGGCCCCTGGGAGGAGATGCCATCTCAGTGGAGAAACAAAGGGTGAGAAAAGGACATCCATGCAAAGCCAGAGCATTCCAAGAGAAAAAGGAGCAAACACAGATGCCCAGAGATCTTAAAGTGCTGCATATATAATAGAACAGTGATAACAACACGTTCTGTACTTATTGCTAATGTTTATTCTGCTTACTGCATGCTAGGCACTGTGTGCTAAGTAGTTAATCCTCATTATCTCATTTTGTTTTTCTTTTTATTGCTTCAAGAGACAGAGTCTTGCTATGTTGCCCAGGCTGAACTTGAACTCCTAGGCTCAAGTGATCCTCCTGCCTCAGCCTCCCGAGTAGCTGGGACCATAGGCGCACACTGCCTCCTGGCATTCTCATTCATTTTCCAAACTATGTAAAAGACTTTACAGATGAGGAAACTGAGGCCAAAAGAAGTTCAATTACAGGCTTAGAGTCATCTAGGTTTTAGGTTTCGTATCTGAGATTTGAGCCCAGGCTCAAAGCCTAGAGTCTAAAGCATTCCCCTCAAGCTAAACCTGGAGTTTTCTAGAAGAAAATTGTCATTGCCACCTTCAGGCCTGGTGAGCTTCTGAAAACTAAGTGAAGCTACAAAAGAGATGAGGCTGAGAGTGATCGTGGAGAAATAATAAGCACGTATATTTGGTCAAGCAAATATTACTTTGCAGTCTGTTAGCTACAGTTAAATATTTAACACCTTTGAAAGCTCAGGGTTGATGACATTTTCAAATTGTCAATTTCTGTTTACATTCGGGCAGTCTGCAGCATTACTGTGTTCAAAAACAGTTGGACTAGTCTTACTTTGCCTTAATTGAAAGGTTCATTCTTAACACCCAAAGCAGAAGTTGGCGAATGTCGTCTAAACAAACCAATTTCAACAGAGTTTTAAAGTTACTTAGAGATATAGTGCTGTCAGAAAATAATTCTCTGAAAAGTCACAAAATTCTGCAGCATGACTCATTATTTGCAGACCGTTTTTGTAAGAAAATGATTGGCTTTTTAAAAATGTAGTGCTGTAGCCAGCAACAATAAACCCCCTTTGGAAAACACATGATTCGGTTTCATTTACTTTTAAAGCCTTTTTTTTCCGTCTTTTTTTCTTTGTTTCTTTCTTTTTTTGGGGGGTGGGGGGGTGGTGTACATTTTTACTAAGCACTAGCCTGGAGAGAAACACCCAAGTATCCTGTTCACTGAAAACTACATAAAAATAGTACAATCTAGGTAATCTCTCAATGTTGTACTTTACAAATATAGGGAGTAGAATTTCATTATGTTAATAGTGTTATTATAATATAGCAGTAGTAATGATAGCTTACATGTATTCAACCCTTACTATGTGCTGGCGCAGTTCTAAACACTTTAACAACAGCTCTGAAATAGACACTAAGAACATCCTCATCTTACAGATGAAACTGCTGAGACTGAAAGTACTTAAATAACTTCCGCCAAACAGATGGGGACAAATTGCCAAGTGGCAGAGCTGGGATTTGAACCCACACTCTCTTTTTCCACCTCACTAAATTATCTCCAGAAGAGTGTCCATAGCATCTTCTTTTGAAACCCAGTATCATACTGGGATAATGAACTGATATGATCCGGATCCATCAATACGTTTCTCTTAACTATCTTTTCAAGGTATGTTCAGAAAAAAAAAGAAAGAAAGAAGGAAAGAAAGAAAGAATATATTTTCTTTTAAAGCCAGCACAAATGTATGCTTCTGCCCTTGGCTTCACTAGAAGAAGTTTGGAAACCTCCATATACTAGGCAATTACTAAATCAATTATTATGCTTGGGTCTGTATCAACTTTGTAAATGACATAAAACATTTCATCAGGACATACCTTGTCCCTGTTAAACCATCAGATCCATCCCATTCCCTGCTGACTGGTTTGCAGGCTTACAGAAACATCAGATGGCTGTGGCAATGAGTAGGATTTGGACCATCCTTCCACCAAATAATGACAAACTATACGGAACAGTTGTGCTAATGTTATGATTAAGCACCCTTGCCCATCGACCAACCCCTGTCAGATTTCCTTATCCATAGAGATATCTCTAATAATAAAGGATGGAACTTAAATCCACATCTGGTTGAGTTCAAATCCAGCAAATTCCAAAAAGGACATACTTCCCATTCCTCAATCTTCTGACCTCAGTCCTGTTATGTAATTGAGTGTGGCTTCCTGGTTGCTAACCATGCTGTCATAATTGCCTAGCCATAGGTAAAAGGATCTCACACAGCGGTTGAAACAGGCGATCAAGCAAGTTTTAATTTAATTTCCCAAGCCCCGTCTCCTGTTTTCTTACGTTCTCCACTTTTCTGTGTTCTTATCTCTTCTATTCCTTCACTTCCTTGTTTTTCCTAACTCTTGTGCTTACTAGCAACATTAACTAAACCCAGCTAAGCCTTTCCATTTGCCCAGATAACTCTCCTAAACAGAGCAAATCACATCTACCCTTTTGCTCAGGCATTCCAGTGTGCTCTGACACTACTACTTTTTTGTTGCCAATGAGGTTTTTATTGTTTGCTTAACAAAATTATTTCATTAAGTGAATGGCTTTAGAGATTCATTTGGTTTTATTTTATTACTGGCTTGGGGAAAAGATAGCTTTTGTTAGGAGAATATGCCAAAAAGTAGAATCGGTACCTATGTAGACATTATTGTTATGATTTATTTCCCTGTATAGTAATAACATTATTTTATAGGTTTACGTGAATACATTTAATTGCTGTCCTGAGAATTCCAAAGCTAATGTGTACAAGGGTTATTGCTAATGCCTGGTGCATGCTGAATCAGTAAATTCCAGTCATTTGTGTATTTGTACCTACATATATCTATACATTATGTCTACATCTGTATCTGTGTCTATTTGTATATGTATTTCTGAGACCAGCTAAGAGTTCCCTTTCATTAAATTTCTGTTGCCATATTAAAAGCTACTTTCTACTAAAATATATTAAGGGAAAAGCAAGTTATCAAGTCCACCGGACCTTCATTTATAACACCAGAAGAACACTCAGTGTAAGAGAGATCTTGAAAGAGGAGTCAAAGGTGAGCTTTTTCAATGCTGGTAATTAATCCTTGCTTTGCATAGGCTAATTGAGGGCAATTATTGAATACTTGATGTCATTTCATTTCCTAGCTGTCAATGGGATTACAGCCTGCTTTCCCTGCTAAATCTGTTAACCTCTGTGCTTTCTTTTGCTGGTAGAGGGATGTTCAAGATAGAGGGGCACCAAGAGCTTTGTTCTTTTTTGTGAATGTCAATATTTTTCTTCAAAAGAATGTTGTTCTCCTTTGACAGATTTTTTTTCTCTTCCTAATATCTCTGTTAAGGCACAAAAAAAGAAGCAGCAACTTTCTGTTACTGTTGGTACCAAAACGAAGAGAGTGAATTATAAGAGAGATTTCCTGGGTGGTCTGCCTTACTTTATAGACTAACTGGTGCTCAAATACATGCAAATACACTCACTAACTTGTTCAGCAAATAGTTACTGAGTAGCTATTAAGTCATAGCATTGTGCTAAGTACTGGGGAGAGGTGAGAAAGGAGACATTAATTCTGCCTTTAAGCAGCTCAGAGACTACTTTTGAGGTTGAGGTGACATCAATGCACTTGCTTAGATACGGCCTTTGGCAAAACTGGTAATATTTTAGGTACCCACTTTCACCATTCTTGCACCTGTTGTTACACCAAGCTTCTATACCAGGACAAATTATTTATTTCACCATCCTTAATCCATTTAGCTAACTCTCCACCCTATCTCACCTCTCAGCCCTACCCAGATAAATCCCATTCCAAGCAAATGGCTTATTTGGCAGTAGTTGAGCCCATACAGCCAAGTCTTTCCCATGGGAAAATATGTGGGAATGTGTGCCTTAAGTTTCTGGGTTGGCTGGATACATTTGCCTTGATGGCCAATGAGGTTATGGCCATGTTTTGCTTCCATCCAATAACTCAGAGAACTGTAGCCAATCCAAGTAGAACAAATCATTTTTCTTCTAAAAGATCATTGAGATAAACATTTCTGGATTATTTATTTGTTTGTTTAGTTTTGCTTAAATACTTGCCAATCTAGATTTTGCTGTATGTTTATAACTATCCTTTTATATTTTAAAAACATTTTATATTAATCTGCCAAATATAATTTTCTGTCACACACTGCTTTTCTTTCCAGTTTATTATTTATATCACTTTCTATGCCTATTCGTGTGTGTTTCTCGAGAGAAAGGACTGAGACTAATATCTTTACAAGCCTCTCAGAACTTAGTATTGCGGCTACCAGTGGAGGAGCTGAATACACTGGACTGAATTCACTGGGCTTTAATCAATGTTAATTACTATTTTTTGTATAAGAAAAATAATTTACATCCAAAATAGCCTTCTAACATACTTGATGACAATCTAAATGAAGTTTGTTCCTTCAACTCATTCTGGTGTCTTTGTTAAAAATTATGGATTACTTATTTATAATTCCATATTGAGACTACAGACAACTTGGAAAAATGATAAAAGCCTCAAAGTATCTATGGACCATTAGAGTATACAGTGAAGTTATAGTAATCCTGCAACTAGTTGCTGGGTGGCGTGCCCCTCCATTTCACTGTTATCCATCACAAAATCATGTGATCCGGGTTCTGTGATTCAATTTCAAAGAGATAGTTTGATTATCTCCTGAAAACCTAAATGGCTTATGTTAGCGTCGTATGTGCTATATGCTATATCTGCCCCAGTTATCACTGTCTCTTTTTCATATGGGCCAGTTCTTTGTTCTTTTGTTCTTTGTTAGAGGCCACCTTTGTCCCCAATTTTTTTCAGAGGCACCACGCATGTACCTTAGAGCTTAATGTAGGGAAATGACACCCCAGGTCATCTGGTGAATGGGGAGACTCTTCCACTCTATAAAGAAAGACCATTCTGGATATTCCCTCATTTGTGTGCATATAAACCCCCTGGGACTGGAAGATGCTACTCTTTTCCACTGGTGGAGTTTGTGGTGAAGAGTTGAGGACATTCTTTTTTTCCTTATGGATCCAAGGAATGTGAGTTATCTTACAAATAGAGAACCAGACCCAATACACATAGAGATGAATACCTAGATCAGGAGAAGTGAGGCAAGAATAAGGCCAAAGTAGTCCAATAATTTTTAATTATACATGAAAGTCATTAAGAAGTAATGAGGATGAAAACAAATATGGATTCAAGACCCGACAATTTAAAAAAAGCATTTTTTTCCGCAAACTGTGAAGAAAACACACCAGTCAACCTATAATTAAATATGTGTATTAGATTCATTTATTGAAAACCAAAAAAAATTTAAAAGCAAAAAAAAACACATTGTTTTCCTTAAGAGAATATTGCCATAGGCTACACATATAGTCAATTATGTCCCACCATATTAGATGCTATTTGCTATTGTAAACAATTAGCTTAGCCATCATTGTGGATTTATTTTTTCCAATCTTTACATCTTCAAATGACTCCTGGCTTAGTCAGTTTGTTAAAAATGGCATATAAAACAACCCCTAAAGCTTTCTCTAAACTGGTACACAGCATTCTTCATTATTAAACAGCTGGCACTCTAACTATATGAAATTTCATTAAATTAACCTTAATGACTTTATGGTTCACGATCACAAAAATACACACACACACACACACACACACACACACACACACAAAATAAAATTTTAAGATGTAACTTCTATGCTTATCTAAGGTTACTCCTATTAAAGGTTTGACAATGTTAATGTTTAAAACAAGTCATAGAATGATTCAACAATAATCTGCATTTTATTTTTAACTTTGAACATCTATTTTGGTCATTGCCTTTATGTTTCTTCATATTTATGCTTCCTGTGATAGTAAAAACTTATTCCTATAAAATGACTGATTTTATTTTTAATTTCTTTGAGCTTGTCTTTATTGACTGAAAATTTATTTTTTTGATTACCTACATTGTGTAAAGTACTGTTATAGGCATAGAATAAAATGTTTAAGCCCCTATTTCCAAGGGTCTTACAGACTAAAAGAAATATATAATTGGCCGGGTGCGGTGGCTCATGCCTGTAATCCCAGCACTTTGGGAGGCTGAGGCGGGTGGATCACAAGGTCCAGAGATCGAGACCATCCTGACCAACATGGTGAAACCCCGCCTCTACTAAAAATACAAAAATTAGCTGGGCATTGTAGCAAGTGCCTGTAGTCCCAACTACTCGAGAGGCTGAGGCAAGAGAATCACTTGAACCTGGGAGGCGGAGGTTGCAGTAAGCCGAGATCGCGCCACTGCACTCCAGCCTGGCAACAGAGTGAGACTCCATCTCCGAAAAAAAAAAAAAAGAAAAAAGAAATACATAATTATACTTTGTCTACTCTTTACTAACAAAAGTCTTTTTCGCAAGCGCCATTTTGATCCTGTGAAGACTCCAGGAATTATTTCTATTTTGTAAATGAAAAGCCAAGGTTCAGAAACAAGCAAGATGCCCAAGTTAAGGGATCGTTACAGGCAGAACCAAAATATGGATTTTGTACACATCCAGGATCCTTTTCCCAGTATTTCTGTCCCTAGAGTTGGGGTCCTAAAAATTCCCTGTCAGAAGCATTTCAAATTGTTACTATATGAAATATAGAGAAGAGGAGCCTTTCAAAGGCCATTAGTGAAATCAGAAATGATTTTATGGGAGAGTTCCACAGATTAAGATAATGTGATCCTCTGAAAATGTCTGAGACTGTCTGAGCCATGATATTAGATGTAGCACACAAAAGTCAGGGCTAATAGATAAAGAAAATATTTTATATGTACTTTTCTAACTATGTATATAGGTAAAATACCTATTAGGGTCAGCATCTTTTGAAAAATTATATATGTATAATTTTAATTGACAAAAATTATATGTTTATGTTGTACAATATGATGTTTGATATATGTATACATTGGAGGTGGCTAAATGAATTTTATTAGCATATGTATTATCATATATTTATTTTTGTTGGTAAGAACATTTAAAATCTACTTTTTTTAGCTATTTTCAAGTATACAGTATATTGTTCTTAATTACAGTCATCATGAGATACAACAGATCTCTTGAACTTACTCTAACTGAAATTTTCTACCCTTTGATCAACATATTCCCAATCCCCACACCCTCTAGCCTCTGATAACCACCACTGCACTCTCTGCTTGTGGGTTCAGCATTTTTAGATTCCATGTATGTGTGAGATCACGTGATTTTTATCATTCTGTGCTTGGCCTATTTTACTTAACGTAATGTCTTCTAGGTTCATCCATGTTGACCCATAAATGACAGCATTTTCTTGTTTTTCAAGGCTGAATACCATTTCATTTTCTATATATATCACATTTTCCTTATCCATTCATCGTTACTAGACACTTAAGTTGATTCCATATCTTGCCTGTTGCAAATAGTGCTGAAGTGAACATGGGTTGTGCGTACATCTCTTGTACTTGCTTATTTCATTTTCTTTGGATATTTATCCAATAGTGGGATTGCTGCATCATATAGTAGTTCGATTTTTGAGTTTTTGAAAAACCTCTATTCTGTTTTCCATAATGGCTGTATTAGTTTACATTCCCACCCAACATGTATAAGAATTCCTTTTTCTCCACATTTTTACCAACATTTGTTTTCTTTTGATTTGATAACAGTCATCGTAACAAGTATGAAGCGATATCTCATGGATTTGATTTGCATTTACCTGATGATTAGTGATGTTGAGCACTTTTACATATACCTGTTGACCATTTGTATGTCTTCTTTTAAGAAATATTTGTTTAGGTCCTTAGTTCCATTTTAAAAATCAAATTATATATATACATATATATATTTGCAGTTGAATTATTATGGCACTAGGATTCTGGGTAATATTTATTTATTATTTTCTTTAAGTTCTGGGTACATGAACAGAATGTGCAGGTTTGTTACATAAGTAAAGGTATGCCATGGTGGTTTGCTGCACCTATCAATCCATCACCTAGGTATTAAGCCCTGCATGCATTAGCTATGCTGCCCTTCCCCAACAGGCCCCAGTGTGTGTCGTTCCCACTGTGTGTCCATGTGTTCTCATTGTTAAGCTCCCTCTTATAAGTGAGAACATACAGTGTTTAGTTTTCTCTTCCTCTGTTAGTTTGCTGAGGTTAATGGCTTCCGGCTTCATCCATGTCTGCAAAGGACATGATCTTGTTCCTTTTTATGGCTGCATAGTATTCCATGGTGTATACACACATTTTTATTTTTATCCAATCTATCATTGATGGGCATTTGGGCTGATTCCATGTCTTTGCTATTGTGCATAGTGCTGTAAGGAAGATATGTGTGCATCTATCGTTATAATAGAATGATTTATATTCCTTTGGGTATATACCCAGTAATGAGATTGCTGGGTCAGATGGTATTTCTGGTTCTAGATCATTGAGGAATCACCACACTGTCCACACTGTCTTCTACAGTGATTGAACTAAATTTACCCTCCCACCAACAGTGTAAAAGCGTTCCTGTTTCTCTGCAACCTCACCAGCATCTGTTGTTTCTTGACTTTTTAATAATCGCCATTCTGACTGGGGTGAGATTATTGTATCTCACTGTGGTTTTGAGATCTATCTATCTGTCTATCTATCTATCTATCTATCTATCTAAATAAGAGAGAAAGTATACAGAGTAATATAATAAATTTCCATGGAGCCACCACCCATCACTGTTATTCTCTGAAGAGTCACATGAAATATTCCAACCTATACTGGAACCCCCATCTTCTCCTACCATCATATCCTATCATGCAGCCTACACTGCAGTCTACGTACTTCTCTCCCAACCTACTGAACATATTTATGCTTCTGTGCTTTACTGATTCTGTTCCCTCTCCTAGAATAATCTTGCTGTTTATGTGAAAGTCATTCATTCTTCAAAATTTTTTCAAATGCCCATGTAGAATTGCCTTCACCTCTTTGTTCCTATAGAATTTAGTTAATACCAAAAAATAAAAGGTAGAGATTATAACGTCATGTAATATGTAGTTATAAAATGTTATAAATGTTTCAGGGTCCTTCATTTTACTACACAGTCCTACAGAAGAAGGAGCATATCTATTCTTCACTGCAGTGTCCCTATGCCTAAGGTACTGCTATGTACATAAAGCAGTACCTATACAGTGAATATTTAATGAAATCAAGAAGAGATAATCAGAGGCAGGGTGGGGGTATGGATTGAACTTGATTGACAGATAAAATAATAAGCTTTATTCATGACCAAGACAGACAGGTTGTCTGGGGTTTGAGAACTATTAGAAATAGTATCTTCCTGGAGTCCAGCTCACAGAGCAAGGAGACATGAATATTTCCCTGTAGTTACTGGATCAGAACAACCTGCACAGATTTACTGGCAATTGTTTTCTTCCTTCTATCCAAACAATTCTACAGTACTAGGGCCCCTGAGCAAACAGAGATGTAGGGAAATTTCTGTTTATGTAATGTACTCCAGCTGAGTAGGTATTTTCCAAACCCCTTCCTCAAAAACATGGATTTTACACCCATGGCTCTGCTCACACTAACTCCCCACTAAAGCACCTAGCCTTCAGCTTATTTCTCAGATGCAGAAGTACATTTCTAAGGCCGAGGTTTATTGGAGTTTCCTGTTATCTATTTTAGAATCCCATCGCTGAAACCTCTTGTCTACTTCCAACTGTTGGGTGTCTTTAAAAGAAGTGGCCTGTAATTTTATGTATGCTTGAAGAGAAATTCTCAAAGTTGCTTAAAATCCATGTTTGAACTTCCTTGTAAATTGAAATTATAGTCCAATCAATGATTATTTTTCCCATGAAATGAATGGCTGATTGTGATATGGTGCCTCAACACATGTACAAATAACCACAGCTGAGACACAGATTGTGTCTAAATGCTATGGGGTTTCAGAAGAGGCAGTGCTTCTTGGAGGATGTTAAGTTTAATTTGAACTTTGTATAATAGATAAATTGAATTTAAATGGAAGTAGCAACACACCTGGAAAAACTTCAAAAGAAGTTGACAGGAATAAAAAGGAATATATATTTAAGAAAAGGAAGTAATCTCATTCCCCAAGGAAAAGATTTTAGAGGCATTAACTAAGTCCCTTAACTAACAAGGTGGCATTCATTTCAAGAAGAAAAAGGGCACATTTCACTGGGAAGCCAGTGATTAAACTGCTAAAATTACGATTCTAGGTGACAAATCTGGCAGCATCAGAAAACTAGAAAAAAGGGAATTATTTCAAAGGTTTTTGATTATCCAGACATGAGAGATAAGGGCCTATATTAAAGCAGAAGGAAAGAAATATACTATAGAGAATATGATAAATGAGGTAGAAAAGAAGAGTATAGTCTTTCAAAAACTTCTGTAAGTTTTGAAAATGGATCACATTGGCTCTCAAAATTGGTTATGTGTAATTATCATCTGGGAAATTTTTGAAAAGACCTATAGCCATGGTAATGTTTCTGAAGGCCTAGGGTGGGGCTTATGGTTGATATTTTAAGTAAATGGCTCAATTGTTTCTGACACAGATGGTACGTAGATCACGATTTGAGAAGCATCAATTTCGTAGATAGCTGGAGAAGGAAAGAAAAGCAAGGTACTGGGGAACTATCAAACAGCTGTTCTGTGCAGTTTGCTATGGCCATTGTTTTCTGGTTTTAAACTTTATTCACTAGACATTTGTTAATTTAATATTTTAGAAAACATAAGTCAGGCACCATGATTCATGCTTGTAATCCCAGCACTTTGGAAGGCTGAGGTGGGAGGATCATCTGAGCCCAGGAGTTCAAGAACAGCCTGGGCAACATAGCAAGACCCCATCTCTACAAAAAAATTAAAAAATTAGCCAGGCAGAGTGGGGTTTGCCTGTGATCCCAGCTACTTGGGAGGCTGAAGTGAAAGGATTGCTTGAGCCCAGGAGGTCAAGGCTGCAGTAAGTCATGATTGTGCCTCTGCACTCCAGGGTGGGCAACAGGCCCTGTCTCAAAAAAGAAAGAGAAGGGACTCATCAATATATTTTGAAAAGGAATGGTAATGAGAGTAAAACTTGTCTGTTAACATACATTAAAATGATAGAAGAATTTTAGGAAAGTCTAGAGTTCTCAGGTGACTTAAGGCCTCCTTGGTCAGTGTGGACGCCAAACACTCAGATGTTATTTTCAAAACCATAAGATTAGATAAAAGAAGACAGAGAGGAAGACTAGAAAAGAGCTAAAGACAAAACAGCAACAACCTTCCCAACCATGGAGACAGCAGGAGAAGTGTAATGAAGCGAAAACACTGTCCACTGGAACTTCCAGACAGTTTGCATCAGGATATTCCCAGGAAGCAAAGTTAGAGGAGTTTCACTACTCCCTGTAGCTTGTTTTATTTGTTTCTTGTACAAAACCTCTAGGCTTTTGGTAGTCATGATATTTCTTACTATTATGACTATCGTTTTATTAAAATGCTACATTAAGTATAAAAATAACATATTGTTCATATAAGTGTCTTCTCTGAGTGGTCATGATTACAATATTCTCTTCCACTTTGTGCTAATGAAATGACCTAAGCTATTAGGACATACACAGCTACTATACATGGCCAGCCAGTCAGCTGTAAAATTTCCAGTTGAAAAAAAAAAAACCATTTTTGTGAACCATTAAAATGCAATAAATTGTTTGACGACTGAAAACTTGTTTCAGTCCAACATAAAAGTTAATAAAATTATTTAAATACACACAGTTGAAAAACAGTTTTAAAATATTTTGCATCCTGTGACTAAGCACCTAGAGTATATTTGAACAAAAAATTATATATATATGCAGAAGAAGAAGAGGTTAATAAAGACTATCAGTGAAACCAGAACTCAGCTTAGTAAGTGGCACAAAACTAGTCTTTGCATTTAGAAAAATGTGATATTATTTTCAACCCGCTGAGCCTATTATGTCTGCATCTCCTCAGATTTTTACATGGCCTTGAGCAATTTGGGCTGGAGCCAGCTATAACAGTATTATTTCAGCAAATCACTTCCTATTGTTGTACATTTTAAGGATGTACTGAAAGGTACTTTCAAGTCTGAAAACATCAACTGATCACACAGCAATGATATCTCATTTACAAGGCCTTTATGTAGCCACAAACTGTTTTCTTTAACAGTTCCACTATCTCGGAAATAGTTATAAACATGAACTACTCTATTGCCACATTTTTAAAAAAGCTGTGCCATTTACCTAAACCATGAACAATGTCATGTGCTTTAAATTCTCCCTAAAATAAACAAATACTACTTTCCGTATGACAGGGGTTGGCAAATTTCTCTGTACAGAGCAGAGGGTAAATATTTTCTGCTTTGTGGGACCATAGGGTCTCTGTTATGACTATTCAGCTCTGCCATTAAAGCATGAAAGCAGCCACAGACAATGTGCACAGGAATGTGTGAACCTCTGTTCCAATAAAACCTTATTTATAAAAACGGGCAATGGGCCAGATTTGGCCTTCAGTCCATAGTTTGCTATCCCCTGTTCTATAGGATTCTTTTTCTACCATGTCAGTAATGTGAATATGCTTGTGATCTAACACACTGAATTATTTTTATGTTTATTTTTATTGATACGTATTAGATGTATATATGTTCAGGTACATGTGATAATTTGACATCTTCATTAATAAAATTAGGGTCATTGGGATATCCATCACCTTAAATATTTATCTTTTCCTTTTTGCTAGGAACAGTTGATTTATTCTCTTCTAGCTACTTTTAAATATACACTACATTAATGTTAGCTATTATCACCCTTCTGATCTATCAAACACCAGATCTTATTTCTTCTAAATGTATATTTGTACCTGTTAAACAACCTCTTTTATCCCCTCACTATCTTTTAGCATGTTGAATTATGTCCCATACTCTTAATTTTGAAACCAGGACAGTCACTTGTCCCAACTCAAGTTATGAACAGTGCCTAATTTTGAGACATTCATTGCAGAAGTGAAATGGATATGTAGAGCTGCCAGAGATTAGGAAATCACTGAGAAATTTTTTAAGATGTAGGTTATAGATTGATAGATTACTCATTCTAGTAAGTAACAATGGAGTGTAGTATATCACAACTATCTAAGTTTGTTTATACTGCTATAATAGAACACCATAAACTAGGTAATTTACAAATATCACAAATATTTAATCACAGTTCTAGAGGGTGGGAAGTCCAAGATCAAGGAGCCGGTAGGTACGATTGTCTGGTGAAGGCTGCTCTCTGCTTCCAATATGGTGCGTTGATACTGCATCTTCTGGAGGGTAAGAATGCTATGTCCTTACACAGCAGAAGGCTCAAGGGCAGGAGAGTCCAGTGCTGTATGAAGCCTCTTTTATAGGGGCCTTTATCTTATTCACAAGAAAGGAGACCTCATGGCCTAATCACCTCTTAAATGTCCTGCCTCTTAATATTTCACATTGGCAATACCTGAATTCTGGAGGGGACACATTCAAACCACAGCATACCACAAGTGGCATTTGGAAAGAAAAGGTTTTCTGAAATGCCCTATTCTGTTCATTGTTCACTCTTTACACACACACACACACACACACACACCTTGTCTGCTTGACAAAATCTCTTTTATCCTTCAGATTGCTTTTTGTGTAAACCTCCCACTCAGACGAAGTGAAATACCTCCCAAGTGCATTGATTTCTGTTTGCAGTTACAACGCCACATTGTACTTATTTGATTACATGTCAGTGACTAAGACAGAGAGGCTGAGGGCATGGTAAGCAGGTAGGCAGGGCCAGAGATCCAGAAGGGTTTTGTGTACTGTGTTAGACAGGCTATATTAAGCCAAGAGCAGTGGAAACCATTGCAGAGAATCAAGCATAAAAAATATGCATCAGATCAATGTTTTAGAAAAACAGCAAGACAACTGCATGGAGAATGAATTATAGGGGGATTAAGTAAAAAAGGGAAAATTGGTAGGATATTATTTAGTGATCCAGAGAAAGATGATGGTGGTTTGAACCAGGAGAGTAGCAGGCAAGATAGAGAGAAGTATTGAGATTCAGGTTTTATTTTGGAGGTTGCACCCATAGCATTTCTAGTGGATTGGATGTGAGAGAAGGAAAAGAAAAAAATCAAGGATAGCATCAAGGTGTTTGCTTTAAACTGGGATGATAATGTTACCATATGCAGGGGATGACACTCATGTCTGAAAGAGAAAATAAGAGCTCTGCTTCGTCTCTTTTATTTGAAATGACTAATTGCTGAGGATATCAAGTAGCCAGTTGGCTCTAAGAATACAGGTTAGAAAATGAGTCAGAGCAGAAGATATTAGTGTTCTACACTGTCTGGGGTTGTCAATAATCCGTGAGGATTTCCTATGTATATACCTGATCCTACACCATCACTGTTAAGGTAGTAAAAGAATAATGATGTGGCTCCTACTCTCCAGGAAGGTCAAGTGTACCTATCATTACAGTAGAGGACTTAAATATGTGAGTGTACCTATCATTACAGTAAAGGACTTAAATATGTGAGTGAACTCTCTCTCTCTCTCTCTCTCTCTCTCTATATATATATATATATATATATATAGTCAGTTAATATAGGGACTTAGTTAATAATATATATATAAATACTATATATATATAATACTACATATATATATATATATATATATATATATATATATATATATATATATAGTATTCGGTTAAATGTTGATGTAGGCAGAAATGATTAGAGGTGTTCAGAGAAGGCTACATGGAAGCCATGGGCTTCAAATGAAGTGGATGGCACAGAGGACAATGAGTTTGATTGGCCTCAGTAGAAGCAAGGGCATCACAACTCTGCTAGTTCAGGGGCAGTCAGGAGAGAAGTAAAATCAAGAACAAGTGAGAGTTTGGGTTGTGATTTTAGGCATAAGGAGAAACATATACTCCTTTCTTTTTATATTCTTATTTGTTTGCCCACAGCATCAAATAAAAACAGGTAAAACTCTTTGAATATGCATTTTAAGGAATTTAAAAAATAAAACATTAAAAGTACTTGAATATGTAAATCTGCTTTATAAAATCGGTCAATTGAAAATGTGGCAACATGTATGATGCCATCTTCAAATGTCAGTAGTAAGAACCATAACAGAATGTCAGTTAATGAAGGTGGCGTTACCATATTGAGTCTATCACTGGGCATTTGAACAAACTCTTAGAGATGACAGTTAATAGTACACAAATTATGCCCAGTTAGAAGTCAAAGCTTGGGGCTCTTCTAAGGCCTTTCAAATAAAACAATAGGTGAGTGCCATTCAATTCATAATCTTGAATTGAGGAGTTGTTTCCCAATGGGAAATCTACATTTCATTATTATACAATAGGGCATAAAATTCTTGGTTAATTTTTGTAAATGTGGACACTACAGATTCCTGTATATTTATTTTACAGTTACATGTATATTTAAATAGAAAGACATAACTAGTCCAATTTCCAATTCCAGTGAACAGAAAGCCTAGAAGGAAACTCTTAGGTTTGAGGATATCAGATTTATTATTGGTAACATGAGGAAAAGCTCTTGCATTCAGAACCAATTCTCTCTTTTGAGTTAGGAATAAAACACATACACACTCCTTTACTTTAATAGATGATACCATACCTCCAGTTATCTCCCTTTAATTCAATTTTGTTAAATAAAATTTACCATAGGCCTAATGTATCCTCAAGATACTATTCTGGGAAAAAAAGAAAATATGAAGACAAGTAAGACACAGTCCTAAAATTCAAGGAGTGGCCAACCTAGTGGAAGAGACAGCATATTCACATGTTATAATTCATATTCACATGAGTTATACTGCAGCTTCTTAGGTACAGAGGATGGAGAAGTGGAGAATGAGAATGTCTGCTTAGAGGAAAGCATTAGAGCTCGGCCTTAAAAGAGGAAAGGTTTTCACATGGACAGCGAAGGGCAGAAAATTAATTCCAGGCACAGGGAACAGCAAATTGGAGAAAAGAATAAAATACTTTAACTGAATCATGCTATTTCAGAGGACTTTATGGAAATGCTTAGTTTTTGAAAAGAGGAACCATGGAGGAGCCTCAACCGTTCCCCCTACCCCACCTACCCGCACTCCCTGCATTTCTATTCCAAATGAAATGTAAAATGTTGGTTCTGTACATAGTGATTCATTCATCGATGAATGTGTAGCGATACCTATTGTGTGTGCTCTACAGTGTCATTGGTACTTCTGATGTATGTTCCAGGTACATTAATTCATCCATTCATTCACTCAAAAATACCATTGGGTTGCTACTGTATGCCAGGAAGTTTGCAAGACCAGGGCTGTAGAAATAGTCCCTGTCTTGTAAAAAACTGCAGTGCAAGAAATAACCATTTTTTTCTTTACTTTTTAAAACTTTTGTTCAAATCAGGACTATTTAAAGATGTAATTTTTTCCTACTCAAGTATATTAATTGAAATAGTATGTAGGCCATTTTAGCTATTAATGTTTAAAGTGAAAGGCAGTTATTATACATTTATTTCCAAAGAAATTCAAAAGGAAACAAGGTTTATCACCAATCTTTATATCTAAAAATATGACTAGATAGTATTATATGTGAGCTTCACAAAGAGTAGTCCCAACTATGCACAGGCCTCGTTGTTTTTCTTTTTCTTTTTCTTTTTTTTTCATGGCACATTAATTAAAATGTTAAAACATCTTGAGTTATCTTACTTTCCTGTTTGTTTTGTTAAAAAATAATATAAAAGCCACTGCTGACACACTGACAGTCTGTTGACAGCTTTAGCTTCCAGAGTGTTTGGAAGACTATTCCTGGGGCATTACGTTTGAAAAGAGTTCAAAGTGATTGTAAACTTGTTTAGATTGTGATATTGAAAACAACACTGGGTGAAATTGTGCTTCTAACTGTCTCAAATGAATCTGTTAGCATCGCTGTCTCTTCCCAGGGGTACTTAGAAATTAATTTTCGATCTATAGTCTTATTCCCTAAGGATTTACACAGGGAACGAAGCAAAATTGTGAATTTTTGAAGATTTTTTTTCTAAAGAATGACCTATTAAGTTTAAAGTAGTACCAATGTGATGTATCAAATACAGTCTTTTTAAAAAATAATTCCTTTCATTCTTAGCCATTAGAAAAATTAACAGGAAATGGAAATGCTATTGAACCTGCTTCCTCTTTCTAGCAGTGAGGAGCAGAGGGCAGAAAGCCCCACCTTGCCTTCATGCAGGTGATATTCTCACCTCTCAGCGTGTGTTTGTGCCTCTATCCTTAGTTTTCTCTAATTTCTAACTCTAAGGTAGTAGAGCTCTTAAATGGTTTTCCTGCTTTCTCTGCAGCTGAATGGTCAGGTCTATAGGGTTTTTTTCTTTTTTGAGATGGAGTTTTGCTCTGTCGCCCAGGCGGGAGTGCAGTGGCGTGATCTCAGGTCACTGCAGCCTCCGCCTCCCAGGCTCAAGCCATTCTCCTGCCTCAGCCTCTGGGGTAGCTGGGAATACAGGTGTGTGCCAACATGTCCAGCTCATTTTTGTATTTTTCGTAGAGATGGTTTTTCACCACTTTGGCCAGGCTGGTCTTGAACTCCTGGCCTCAAGTGATCCACACACCTCAGCCTCCCAAAGTGCTGGGATTACAGGCATGAGCCACAGCACCCAGCCCAGGTCTATAGGATTTTAATTGCTTCCCACATGCTAAGGGAGAATCAGGTCGCATAATGAGGCTTTGTAGGGGAAAACGTGGTTTTCACACTTACTTTCAAGGGAAGGGAGTACTCAAGCTATGCTGATGTGGGAACCTGCATCCTAAGGACCTGATAACCAAGACTAAACTAAAATCAGTAAAATCCATGGGTGTATGGATCAGTAGAGGTGAGCTTCTCAGGACAGGCTGAACTATTGGGGAATGAAAGGACATATGCCCCACATAAGAAAAACAACCCCATCATACAGTCAGAGTTTGAGTTGCTTCTTGCTAGCCATGCGACCCTGACAATTCAGTTTCTGAACTTTCTGACCCCCATACCTCTCATCCATAAAACGAGGAGTAGTACTACTGATTTGGCAAGACTGTTGCAAGAATAATGCCGGCGAAATTTGATTTGAAATGAGGACCTATTAAAATGCAAGGCATTCTAGTCTATGATAGACATTTTCTAGGTCACGTTCTGAACATCTTGAGATATCTGTTGTACATCATGTCTTGTCCCATTGTGGGGAGTATGGGATTGAATCCTTCAGCCTTTCTCAACTGTGAAACTAAGTCATTCATTTAATGTTATGAATGAATTCTAGAATGGTACTAGTTAAGTACATTTTGGGGAGAATTGAGAAAATAGTCACTGAAATCCGGTTTTCCACTCTCTGCTTCAGTTGAGAAATCCTGCTGAGAAAGACTGTGAGATACTAAACTATTCATGCTCTCTGAGTGAAAAAGCTTAAGAAAACCTAAAAAACAAACAAACAAACAAACAGATTTAAATAAATTTTAAAGCCCCTTGCCTTGAAATATATTTCAGAATATCACTTTTGACTTTTTTTTGGTGAATTCCATGCTAAGATTATGAATTAACTTTTGCATTCTCTTTCCTTGTGCACTACATTGTGCTGAGGGCTAGTGCACAAAGAGAAACACAAATATTAATATCTTATGTTAATGTAAATGTGAATATCTTATAATAATTATGAGCATAGAACCCAAAACTTTTTGTAATTCCTAATAACTACTTTTATGATGGTGATGAAGATGACGGAGAAGTCTGAAATACTAGTAGTTATCAAATAAAAAGATATTAATATCTAAGCTATAGAATTATTTCATATTGCAAGATGATTTTCTTAGTAAACTGAGCAAATAAACTCACTCCTGTCTTTGTGATATGAATCCACAGTTTTATTTTTACTCTGCTAGGAAATTTTCAACATTTGTCGTTTATTCTCAGTTTAAGTCAGTATGGTGTGAAATACTGGGTAATATAAAAACAAATGTCTTTATCTGTCTATTAATGTTTTTGTCTCTATTAAACATTTTCCATGGATCATGCCCGTGTTTGTGCTTTGCTTTGACATAGGGATTATAATTTCAGTACTGCAAATGAAAATCTTGAAAAGTCAGGAGGCAAGAGGGATTTAGCCCAAGACTATCAAAAGCTCTTGGCATTTGTTCTCTCTCACCTCCTTTCCACATTCATTTCCAACTTCAGATTTATGATGGATTTTATGATAGTACATGGTTCAAAGAGAAATAGCATTTTTTTTAAATGCCCAGGGATAAACCAAATAAAACATTTATGACAAATTTTCAGAAAAACCACAGACTGGAAGATGTTACTATATAGTGGTTCTCTAAGCATCACCTGGGAACTTGGTAGAAATGCAAATTCTCAGGTCCCACCACAGATACACTGAATCTGAAACTCTGGGAGTGGGGCCCAGCAATCTGGTTTCACACACCCTGTGGGTGATTCTGACCAAGTTTGAGAATCACACTTCCTGAACAGTGCCTCACTCTCTCACTTAAATGACTCAGTTTTTCTAGTTTAATACACAAGCATCAGCGCTATAAACACCACATTTAAAAGAAAATCTGGAAAAGACAGGAAGAGTTTCCACTTCATTCTGGGGGGGAAAAAGAAAGAGTTGTTTTAGGGCCATCACTTTGAGAGAGGAGGGAATGTACGTGAGACCTTGTATGCATTTCCAACTGGGATTATGACTGGTTGTGTGACCCGTCAGGGGGGATACTAATATGTTCACAGCTGCCTATTAGAGTCACTTATAGTAGAAAGCTCACAATACTCAAGGATCAAAACAGGGCAGATAAAATCTGTTGTTTAAAGCACCAAATATGGCTGTAGATTCACTCAGTAAATGTGAATAATAGGAAGTTTATTTTCAATTTTAAGTTCTTTAAAAATTTTACTTAAAAATAGATTCAAGTTTTCATGCTCTTCAAGCGTGCTTTATAAACTATATCACTCTTTTCCATCAGCCCCCTGAGATTGGGTAGCATAGCAAATGGTAGCCACTCTATGGCAAATGCTCTCAGCATATAGACTGTGAAAAATTCTGTTGTGGAAATGATTCTAGTTGAACCAAACTGTTACAGGAAAGGAATCCCAATCCAGACCCCAAGAGAGGATTTTTGGATCTCATGCATGAAAGAATTCAGGGTGAGTCCACAGTGCAAAGTGAAAGCAAGTTTATTACATCTACCCTAGGTATAATAGTTGTATATATGTAGGGTAAAAAAAGATCGTGGGGAGATGTGCTGTGCTACAAGAGTTTGTGATAAAGAATTAATTTTCTTACTATATTTTGCAAGAATCAATATTATTATCTTTAAAGCAAAATTAGGAATGCCTTTGTTTTCAAGACATCTGGATATCAAGACAATCCCAAGTCTAGGTCTGTTCAACAAACATTATCAATTTGTTCCCTCAACTGCTAGGAATAGCTTTTGGAGAATGCAGCCCAGTTCCAGAGTCCCTCGTTTTCCTAGCCCTCACTCAACACCTCTGACAAAACTGCACCAAAATGTGTCATATATGTAGAAACTCATCTTCTACAAGCTATACAAAGCAATCCCTTATCTGTTAGAAAGTAAGGACTAAACAAATTAACAAAAGGACTAGGATGATTGAAAAGATATTGGTGCCTTATTATGAATGTTTGCCAAGACACTTATAAATAAGATAGAGATGTTAAAAGAAAAAACAATGTAAATTCTATTGCCTAATGTGTACTTCCATTTCAAATATCTAGTTCACATATTAGTAGGTATCATTCATCTTAATTGGGTTCAAGAAGGCTCTTCACTGCTAATGGCAAATCAATCACCATCTCTGAACACTGCAGTATGTACTCATGACCTGTAGATTGTGTTGGAATTTTAATACATGGGGAAGTATTTTGAAAAGTTAGGAATTTGAGTTGGAAAGGCATCCAGAAAATTGATTTTGATTTTTCTTAAGGGTTAAGGCTGGGTGTGGTGGCACACGCCTGTAGTCCAGGTCACTTGAGACCAGGAGTTCAAGACCAGCCTGGGCAACGTAGGGAGACCCCGTCTCCGAGAAAAGAAAAAAAAAAAAAGCCAAAAGCAGCTGAGTATGGTGGCGTGTGCCTGTAGTCCCAGCTAATTGGGAGGCTGAGGTGGGAGGATCACTTTCCTCTGGGAGGTCAAGGTTGCAGTATGCCATGATTGCACCACTGCACTCCAGCCTGGGTGACACAGTGAGACCCTGTTGAAAAAAAAAGGTAAAAAATCAAGGGACTTTGTTAAAAAGATTGTAATCTCATATTAGCAGTCTAGTAATTGGATTTTTTCATTTAACAGAGGAAAAAGAACTGTATTTTAATGAGAGTATATTTTTAAAAAGCAATTTCTTCTTTTTGCCATGCTATTTTCATTCGTAGTATTTTAGAGAGTGGACTTTTTTTTAGCATGGAATTATGTGTATGATATTCCTTTGACCTAGCAATCACAGTACTAATAGGCTTCACATCTGTTTACTTTTAAAGAAATGTGAGCATTTTGATAGAAAACACTATTAATGAAGTTTTTTGAAAAAAATGACATTCTGAACATATTAAATGACGTTAAATTAAAAAAATCAAAAGATAGTAAGACTGAGAAGGCTTTTCCAATCCTAGAGGGATTCAGAAGTAATTTCAAAACAAAGATGGGGAGGAAAGCTTCTCCTTCCTCCAGCAACCTTTTCTCTCCTTACATGAAGCTATGACTTTAACCTCTTCTTGGCTGCAAAGTGAAATCTATTTTTTTAAGGGTGAAAGAGGTATGAGTACTTAGGAGAGGAATAAAACAACACGTATTGGATTCTATGGTGCCAAGCTTGATTTGCCTCTGGCTTGGCCATTCCAAGAAGAGCTTAAGCTTTTTCATCTTAACTCTGATGCACAATCTTAATTTAAACTGTATGAGATTTGCCCTGATGCACACCAGTTTCATCCGTTTCTGGTATCAACAAAATCAAAGCGTCTAACTTTTTCAAACACAAAGGGATGAATTGTGAATACCTGCTGAATTTCCACAAGTCAACAACCTAACAAAACCACAAAAAAAGACGAGGTAACTTTTTTCTTAAGTGAAAAGTAGCCTAACACTAGAAAAGAGAACATTTATTTCTGTTAATCTGGGCATTAATAAAAGGTGCTGGGCCATAATTATAGTTCCCTTTGTCATTTAATAGAGAGGTAGAAAAATGCAGATTTTTATTCCCTTTGCCTAGGGCGGAACCTGAGATTCTGCATTTCTAACAGGCTCCGGGTGATTAGATGTCACTGAACGTTGTCACATTGTGTACCAAGGGTAAATATGTATAATTTCTTATGAATGATAGGCTCCTTTCCACCATCTTCACAGAGGTTAGACAAAGCTAAGGCAAGAAACCAACTGAGAACAGATATTTTATCTAGTACAGCTTTCATATACGCACAACGTTCAGAAAATGAAAATGAACATTTCTCAGCCTCAATCTCCTCTTCTATAATTTGAGAGGCTTGGAAGCTTCTTCCAGACCTAAGATTTTATGATTCTACTGGGCACTAAATAAATCCTCTATGAATATATGAATGAGCAAGGGAATTAGTGAATTTTGAGTTGCCAGTTTAACTATAAGGAAGTGGCTCTTTTGTTCTCCCATTATTACTTACAGAGGAGCTTGGGGTATATGTGAGTCATTTCATAAACTTCAGACAGAGGAGAACGTGTGAAATAATGGCCTAAGAGAGAAAGTAAATGGGGAAGAAAGAAATATAATAGGCCAGACAGACCACATTTTAAGTGTTAACTTCAGGTGAGAGACCATGAATTTAAACTGAGATCAGTCCACAAGGCTGTGTTTTTTATCTGTAGTCACAGCAGAGTGACTGTTTCGAACATGTGAAATGTTCTGGGTCTCTATTTCCAGTGGGTTTTAACAAAGGTTACAATTTTGTTAGTTTGCACAAGAGTTGGTTTTAACAAGGGTAATAGGCCCTGGAATTGGGTCAGGTAAGGAGGAGAGTGAGGTTCTGAGGGACGGAAGCACAGGAAAGGCAGTAGAATAATGAATTGTACTTTATGTTGGTTTGTACTTCCCTGAAGGATTGTTGAGATGGGAGTTACAAGGGGCAAGCTAGAGTGTGGAAGGCTTGAAAATGGGGTTATGGAAGGTAACTTAGTAATGGCAAGGTCTAGGGTGTGACTACCTAAGTCACATAATGTCACATCTCTGCTCCAGGTATTATGGCGATGATGAAGGTGTGAAAAAGAGAAACTGAACTGACAACTTTAAAGTTGTATTTTCTAATTGGGACTAGATTTAATACTGGCATAGGTCTTCTGTGAACCAAGTTACTTGACTTGTTGAACATGTATAAATGACATGAAGTATTTGATGGGAAGTTTCAGCCAAACAGGTGATAAGAAGTTGAATTTTAAACCCTGTAAAATTAGGTCAGTCTACCATATAAAAACAAGATTTAATAAGCGGCAGATGATATTTTGTCCAATTCAGTTAGATTTTGCAGTGCCAAATAATTATAGGCAGTGCAAATCATGCATTTGCTGTGCTATGAAGGGTTATGTGAATTCTCCGCTACAGACATGCTATACCTTCCCTGAAAAAAGCACATATGGCTATCAGTAAGAAGGTCATTTTGAATGTGCACCTACAATAGTGACAACAGGCTGGGCGCGTTAGCTCACACCTGTAATCCCAGCACTTTGGGAGGCTGAGGCAGGCAGATCACCTGAGGTCAGAAGTTCGAGATCAGCCTGGCTAACATGGTGAAAACCCATCTCTACTAAAAATACAAAAATTAGCAGGGCATGGTGGTGTGTGCCTGTAATCCCAGGTACTCAGGAGGCTGAGACAGGAGAATCGCTTGAACCCAGGAGGCGGAGGTTGCAATGAGCCAAGATCGCACCACTGCACTCCAGCCTGGGTGACAGAGCAAGACTCTGTCTCAAAAAAAAAAAAAAAAAAATGGTGACAACAATTTAGTTAGCACATAGATGTCTTAGCAAAATTATATTTTATATACAAAAGTTAAAAAGCTACATAGTAATATGTCTTAAGATAATATTTTATCACTTCATGACCAAGTGTTGAACACCTAATCTGCTACTAAAATCTGTTTTTTCTCAGTGACGAGTTCACATTCACCGTGTAATCAAGCAAAAGTAACTGCAAATGTTACTGTCTCTGGTAATCTAGACATTTTATGAAGTCTCCAGTTCTTGAAGTTTAGTAGGTTTATAGTCAGGTACACTAGGTAAAGGCATAAATGTCATAGTTGTGTTAGGTATTTGAAAACATTGGCTTCATGAACTCCCCCCTAATTTAATACCCTTTCAAATCTGAGTGATTTATGATATGTATCAGTGGTTAAATTTAATACATGCACTGTTTTTTAATATCTAACTTTTTCTAGTTATAAAAGGTTACATAACTACATAAAACAATCCACATACTAATTTTTATCTCTCATTTTAGGCTAGATACTTCTGTTCTGAGGTATATGAAATTATCAGTTTGTCAGACACTTAATCCTTTATCATTTATTGGCAAGGAATGTAATTGAATTGGTCTAAACTAAAAGTGAAGATATTGACAGATTGTAGAGGGGTGGATTATCTGGCATAGTAGAAGGCACATCGGATCTGGGGTTAGACAACTGGAGTTCTTAACTTGCTCTATGACTCCTTTGTCTCTGGTTCCTTTTCAGTAAAAGATGGTATAAATGCCTATGATTAAGTGTTTATGAGTATTACTGATACTGTATGGAAAGCATGTTACATGGGACTGGCTCTGTAAACCAAAGTCTGACCTTATCAAAAGCTCTTCACAGCCATAACTGCACTGGGCACTGGGGCAGGTAGTGGGGCAGGGATCCCTAGATTCAGTAGGCTGTCTTAAAGAAGTTACTATCTAGTGGAAAAAATTCCACTTTCATGTACTCTAGTACATATTTACAGAACATTTGCATGTGGTGGACAGTAGCCTGGGTTGTGGGTACTCAGTGAACAAGACAGACATCATCCTTCAACTCATGGAGCTTACATTTCTGATACCTTCATTTCTCATCCATTAACACGATTTACATTGACCGTGATTGCTGCTACATCACGTAATATTGGCTTTATCTTTCAAGTGTGCATTTATTGTATTTTAAGAATGAAGATACTAGAAAGGCCTCTCTTACTCAAGAGTACATAACAACTATGACAAAATAACTTGAAGTGAGATTTTTCTGAGATTATATATTTACATGAGTTATATATTAGTTTTTAAACTGCATCTTATGTGTCATTGCTACCATTTGATACATTTACTGTGGAGCTTAAACCATAAAGACCAGAGCTTATTCATAATGGGCAAAGCTGAATATAGAGTGAATGTGCTCGTCAGCTTGAATTAAAATTTAGAGGGTCCTAACTGAGGCTTTTTCAAGGGTGGAATTGAAGATTTTTGAGGAAACAGCATCTCTGGGACACAGGAATTACTCAGACTTCACTATGATCTCTATGTCGTCTCAAACAGCATCCCAAAGAGAAAGGGAAACTGTCTTTAGAGCAGAGATTAGTGTCAGGACAAACCTCTATGTTGTATGAAGTCAGTGACCTAGCGCAAACATAAACAGGTTTCCATGTCATGTTATGCTTGCCAGAAAAGCATTTAATGTGAACTGGAATTGTGTGATTTTCTATGAGAATGTGGCCTATAAAACTGATTATGTTTTTGCAAGTTATTCCATCTGTAAGCAATGTGCATAAAATGTTTTGTTAAAATAAAGAAAATTGAATTCAAAATGTGCACTAAAAATTATCCTATCAGTGTGAACATCAACCTAGAAAATTAGATGCACTCATCTCCCATATTTCATATTCTAACATTTCCCAATATTATGGAACATTTCTCCTATTCATGAATCTGCCTGCCAGTGCTATAAGTTTGTATTATTTTTAAACTTCTTGAGTTATTTGTTGTATAGGGTAGGATAAAAATAGTTTGGATGGATGGTATGCATTGGCATTAAATCTGCTTCAAGTCAGAGCCTAGAAACTCTGAATGGCACAGTTATTTTTAAAATGGCCAACAGATCGATAGAGACTGTGGCCAAAATTCTGAAAAAGTCTAATAAAAAGCATTGATACCTGTTTGGTAAAAATATGGTTTGCCTGAATAGACACTTGCAATGTTTGCTTTTCTGGATTGAGTATCACAGCAGGCAGATATTGTTGTTCTATATTGTCTCCAGGCTATCTCTGTCAGAGGGTTGTGTCACTGGGAACAAGTTATCTTTTCCAGGGTCTTTTCAGGCTGTATGTATTTAAACATAAAGACTAGAACTAAAGATAACAAAGAAGACAAAAGAATATACAAACAGCTCTTTGCTTCTCAAAAGGTGTAGAATGGTCATATCTGCTTTCTGACAGTGGTGATAGGGAGTGGGTTTGATTCTTCCTCAGTGCTTTTCAATGTTGAGCATCTTTTCATTTTCTCTTTGGTGAGACACTGTCGAAATGTCTGACCCCTGAAGCAGGATAGGATATGCTTTGTCCTGCTCACTCGCCCAAATCCTCCAGGGACATTTCAGTGCCTGGCTCTAGTAGTTGACACTGCTCCCCATTCCTGGTAAATGTGCTGGTACCATTTCCTCAGAAGAGAGAGTTTTCTACCTATCCAAGCCAAAAAGAGAGAAAAATTGAAATGTTGACTGAAAAAAGAAGGTGGAGATTTCTAGTCCATTTTATTGTTTCATGTTGGTTTATTGAAGGGTCCAATTGGGAATTCTTACACATTTTGTAAATGTAGGAATAGGAGAAACCTGAAAAAGTGGTAAAACATAAATGAACTTCCAGCTTCATTTCCCTGACTTCCTTGTAAGTACCTTCCATGCTTAACCAATTCATCTTAGAATTCCCAAACCTTGAAATTCCATACATTGCTACCTTCAATAATCTTCATTCTTCCTGTTAATGTTCTGAATCTTCTTCATGCTGCAAATGAATGAATGAACTAATAAATAAGATGTTTCTCTTTTAATTGTTTCAATAGGTAGTATACTAAATTTCCCCCTTTGAGTAGGTATTTAAGAGATTAAGTTTAAAAGTTCCCAGTAGTTTTATTTTTACTTTAATTTTTACTATTAATTATGACAGTTGTTTTTTCACTGTAAGTAGATAATATAAAAGAGAAATCAAAGGGACATACTTTTATCATTATACAGTTTATGCCTTGTCTTTTATCTTCTGTCATCTTGTTCCAAAATATGGCAATTTTTTTCCTGTATTCCCTTTCTCTGTATTTTGTTTTGCTTTGTTCTGTAATAACTGGAGATACTTGGATATGGATACTCAACTGTTATTTTTGCTATCACTCAGACACTTCCCCTTCCCGAATAAAATCCTACATCTAATTGTCAAAATAAAGCACACACAAAAAAAGTACTTTTTTTTTTTTTAAGAGACAGAGTTTCAGTGTGTCACCCAGAAGTACAGTGGCACAATCATAACACACTGCAACCTCAAATTCCTGAGCTGAAGCCATTCTTCCACCTCAGCCTCCCAAGTAGCTAGGATTAAAGGTGTATAACCACCAATCCTGGCTAAGGTGTTTGTTTGTTTTTTTGTAGAGACAGGGGTCTCACTACATTGCCCAAGTTGGTCTTGAACTCCTGGGCTCAAGTGATCTTCCTGCCTCAGCCTCTCCAGAATTACAGTTGTGAGCCACCATGCTGGGGCTGAAAATAACCTTTTACAGAAGAAAGAAAAGTGATGGCATGAAAAATGGTATGTCTCTTGGACAGAGTTCAGTAATATGACCTATGAAAAATAAATATATTTGAAGCAGACTAGAGAAACACCTGAGAGAGAAATAATTCCTAGGATAATAGAAGAAAGCTTATTGTTCTGATTTTTTAATATAAGTTTGTCAATTAAGAGTTTTCTCTACTCCAGACTAAACTTTTATCATCACTTTTTAGTATTCATGTATCCACAGTCTGAAAACATGTTATTTTTCATTAACTGTGAAACAAAGGCTCCAGAGCTTGACTATTGTGTGAGGGAAGGAAATTATATTTTGAGTTTAGTATTCTTGCATTCATGCTGACATTGTTTAACCCGTCCTAGAGCAGCTTCTTACTTTTTCATTTCCTAATCTGTTTTATAATCTTTAAGCCACAGCAAAATTATGAGTCCTAAGGGGGAAATGGAATGGAAGAAAATATTTTTAAATTATGTCTTTGATAAGGGAATTATATACAAATAATAAAGAACTCTTCTAATGCCACAACAATGAAAAGACAACTCTATTGAAAAATGGGCAAATGACTTGAATAGACATTTCTTGAAAGAAGATATAGAAATAGGGAATATGAAATATGTTATCTTATCCAGTAAAAAATGTATATCAAAACCAGTATAAGATACCTTTTCCTACCCATTATGATTGTGATAATAAAAAAAGACATGACAACAAGTATTGGTGGGAAAGTGGAAAAATTAAAGCCCTTATACATTGCTGGTGGGAATGCAAAATGATACAGCTCCTACAAAAAATAGTTTGGCAGTTCCTCACAAGCTAAACCTAGAATTACCATATTCCCCAGCAATTTCACAACTAAGTATATACCTAAAAGAAATAAAGGCATACATCTATCCAAAAACTTCTATATGAATGCACATAGCAACATTATTCTTAATAGCCAAATTGTAGAAATAACCAGAATATCAATTAACTGGTGAGTGGCTAAATATATGTGGAGTAACCGTACAGTGGAATATTATTTAGTCATAAAAAAGTGAAATACTGATACATGCTGCAATATGGATGAACTTCAAAATCATTATGCTAAGGGCAAAGAGCTATGCATCAATGACCACACACTATATTCTTCCATTTAGTAAGTAGCTTAATGATTGTCTGTGGCTGGGGTGGGGAATGGTAGAGGGTTGGGAGAAAATCAGAACGGCTGCTAATGTGTATGGAATTACTTTCTGGAGTGATGAAAATGCTCTAAAATTGATTGTTGTGATGGTTGCACATCCTAGAGCAGTTATGAATAGGTGAATATATTAAAAACATTGAATTTTATAATTTAAATGGATGAATTGTATGGAAGTATATGAATTATATCTTAATAAAACTGTTTTTAAAAAGGCATAGCATAAATTGATTGATAGATAGATATAGGTTAATTTCTGGGTTTCTGATGGAATTGAATAAAAAAAATGGATGAGGCTTTCATATAATGTTATACCAATTAAGCCTAAAATTTTAAATGCTAAGTTTAATAATTCTCTTTAAAAGTGTGTTTTCACTCTTTCTAGAAAAGGCATACATTTTCAATTTTCTGATAGCTTGATGATTTGTAATTGTTTACATATAAGTAAGGAGTAGGGTCCACCATTACATATGTACATGACCTAAAATTTATTTTATTGATTTGCTTCAAGAATGTGTTCATTACAGCTTCATTTCAAGATCCAGACAAGTTTGCGTACTTCTCACCTGTCGGTTCCAAATCTCAAGCCACCTCCAGAACATTTTAATTTTACTATTTTAATTCTATAATCCTAAACTAAATAAATCTACATGCCATAACTTAGTGTTCCCACTTAGATTATATTTCATAGTAAGTTCTTTTGTACTCCAAGGTAGTTACCTCCTGAGTCCCTACCCATCAATAACAGAGCCTGCCTCCCAAACTCCAGTAGAGGGGTTAGATATACAAATTCTGTCTACTCTTCGCCTATCCCAAATCAACCACCAGGAACCATAGATTCTCTCTTGACAACTATCCTAGTTTCCTACTATGCTGCAGGCAATATCTGAACTCCAGTCCAGTTTGGGCTTCTCCATGTAATAGCTGCATGACGTTGGCACATCACTTAAAACTCCCTGAGTCTCCGTGAACTAGAGAACAGAAAGGGTCATTTCTTCTCTCCATCCTAGCAGAGCTGTTATGAAGACCAAAGAACATAGCAGCAGTTTATGGGCCACCATTTTGAAAAATTAAATGAGTTTTTAACAAAAGTTATTACATGTGACATTCAATCATTTTACCTAGTAAGTACTTTAAAAATTTATTCTTTCTTTAACAAAAAATTATAGCCACATAGATTAATAGAGAAATTGAACCAGGATAACAAATATAAGAAAGCGGTAATGAGGTTTAAGAATAATTTACAATAAAACCCATATGAATAGCAAGGGCACAGTTCTCAAATGTGTCACTATTATGTCATTGAGAAAGGTAGAAAGATTTTCTAACTAATCTCTATTAAATCTATACTTATAGTTATCAATATAATAACATATTACACTTATATAGTACATATCCTATGCCACCCTGTATTCTAAGTGCTTTGCATACATTACATACCTGTCACCCTCTATCACCAAGTCATCTTTCAGTTAAGTAAATTAATCATGATGGGTGGAGAATAATGAGCTAAGAGTTTGAAAGAATATATAAAAATAATGTTTGGGGGAATCATATACATTTTAAAAGATTATTATATTTTTAAAATGTAGCCCAACTTTTCAGAGAATGTTTCATTTTTAGACTATCATATACTACATTTTAATAAGAGGTTACTACTTGAACTATGTAATGCATGGGTAGTTATATGGCGTGCATTATATGTATAACATAGTTCATACATAGTTTTTAGCCACTGCTAATTCTAAGCTATGCCTTTCTCCATTAAATATATTTGTTTGCGTATTCTAAAAAGAAGGAGCAGAATTGTTGATCATCCCCTCCAATCTTGTTTAGTACTTCCACTGAAATGTGGCTTATCTATCAATTAGGTTTGGCCCAGTATTTCAGCTGCTGGTTTCAACTTAATTCCCTCATTTGTTCCCCTTTTATTCAAGCAAAGTGCCATTTAATTTATGGCTCCTTTTCTTTCCCTGTAGCCTAAGCTTCTTAGAAAATAAATGAGGCTATAAGTCCTCATTTAGCCCTTCTTAGTCCTGTGGATTCTGGCTGAGGATTTGAGTCTCGTCAGTCATTCACCACGCTATGCCTTAGGTCACTGTGCTCTCCTTCTTTGGCTCTTTCAATTTTCTCTTTGTAGAAACCTGTAAAGATGTTTTTATAGAAATTTCAGTATTAAATCAGCTACACATATTTTGAATAAGAATGCTTTTCTTTGAACACCATGGAATGCATGCTTACTGGCAACCTTGAGATCACTTGGAAAATAACCGGGAATGGAGGAGAGGTTCTTAAGCCACACCTTGGTTGTCATTAGTCTACTCAATTTGGAGAGTATGTTCATGGGCCTCTGTTCCATTGTGCATTGGCTGGATGCATATGTTGAGCAATGGGGACAACGTATAATTTTTTTTTCACTTGCCACAATTTTATTCATTTTTATTTTTTATTTGAGATGGAGTTTTACTCTTGTCACCCAGGCTGGAGGGCAATGGCGCAGTCGCGGCTCACTGCAACCTCTGCCTCCTGAGTTCAAACAATTCTCCCGCCTCAGTCTCCCAAGTAGCTGGGATTAAAGGTGTACATACCACCATGGCCAGCTAATTTTTGTATTTTTAGTAGAGATGGGGTTTCACCATGTTGGCCAGGCTGGTCTCGAACTCCTGACCTCAGGTGATCTGCCCTCCTTGGCTTCCCAAAATTCTGGGATTACAGGTGTGAGTCACCACATCCGGCCCACTTGGCACAGTTCTAGATTGAGGTAAATATTAATCTAGGTTTTGCTTAAATTCCTGTGGACAGACAGATAAAATATACAATGTTAGGATTCTTAGCTAACAAGGGATACTGCCAAATGATAAAATATTAATTCTATTACTTTGTATGCAGATATGTGAGAACTAGAAGCAATTACCCTGACTCTAATTGCTTCATAGATGAATACAATTATGATGTTATACTCATCCTGTCTGTATTCTCAGTATAAAATAACATCAACATAAGACAGTCAGAAATTTCATTTAAAAGTAAACCTTACCAATGTGAAATATATTAAGGCAATAAACCAAGAGATTAAACTTTCATAAACAGTAAGAGCTTATTGTTTTGTAAATGAGTGTATAATAATATCTTTGCAGCTCAAATGAAACCATAAAACTGACTGGGGGCCTCACTTTTTTCAGCAAACTTTTGATTTATCTTTTTAATCTGTTCTTAGCATTGTATAGCAATTAAACACTGGAAATGGGCTTTACACTTCTTGCCACATTGCTCTTCTCCCGTTTCACTTCTGTCATTTCTTTTATAATGACAAGCAATTTAGAGGAACAAGAAACAATTAAAATGTAAGTAGCTCCTGCTGTTACAGGTGTTCTCCACTAATGAATAAAAATGACTGGGATTATAGAAAGGTGAGATTTAAGGAAAGATCTCTTTTGGGTGTTAGAAAATTTAAAGATTTGTGGACAAATTCAGAAGGTAAGCACAGATTCCCAAGACGTAATTCCTCAGGGGAATTTGATAAAGTCAATTAGTTGTTGAAAGTACCACATACAGAGGCTGGCCAAATGAAATTGTCAGTAGTTTTAGTGGGCATGGGAAGTGTGTGATGTGCCTGAACTGGAGTTACTGATTCAGACAAAATGGCATGAAGGCAAGAACTTACATTCCAACAAGTTTCCGGTTGGTTCTGACACCACTGATCCAGGGAACACACTTTGAGAGCCACTGGTCTAACAGAGGCCAATGACTTTTGCATTCTTTCTGTCCACTTCCTCTTGAAAAACACTCAATGCTTGATAGAAATACTTCAAGGCTGTGACGGCTTGACACTGGTGTATGGTAGACTCCCGTAGGGTAGTAGTAGACTCACTTGCGATAAATAAATTCACAGATAATCAAATGTCTTACAAAAGGTTATATACTTGAACATACTGGAAACTCAAGACCCTTTCCCTTCTAATTCAGTGCTATGCTGTCTTCAGTAATCTGTATCCATGACAAAGAGGTTTCTGGGACATCGGTCACTCCCCTAAAGGCAACAGTTTAAGGAATTATAATTTTGTTTTAAATTATGAGTCTGACTTAATGAAGAGTAGATGGGTGACTTAGACAACATTGTACTTATGAAATTAAGTAGGCCACTTACACTTCACTTTCCTGAGTCACCCTAGTGTCTGTATAATACAAAGGAGGCCAAATAATTTCTTGGTTATAAAACCTCAGTTCTAAATGTTAACATTTTATTCAGCAAAGACTAGATTAATTTAGATTAATGGGATAGTTATTACTATACACTATATAGCTCTATGTGTAAGTTGTAAAAACAATTTTAAAAATTAGAACATTTTCATCCTATTCTGAATATTACACAAAATATATTTCTTGTAAAGATGACACATGTAAAGATCACACATGCTCTTGTAAAGAGCCTTATCTAAAGACTCCAAGTGCTAATTTAACAGGTATACACAAAGGAAAAGGGAAAAAATATCATGTAAATTGTAAGAATTAGCCTGATCTTTAAGTACATAATAACTCCTCTCTCTATATGAGATGCTTTCAGCCAAGGTCTTCTATCCTCAACATTTGTCTTCCAAATAATCTGTTGGATAACTAAGTTTCCTTTAATGTGAGCTGAAATATTTCATTCAATTTTTAAAGTTTTAGTTCCTGTCAAAAAATACAAATGCCAGCCACTGTGACAGACTTTGAACTTACATATTGTTAATATGAACTGTATGTAATTAAACACAGAACTCCTATGGAAAGCAAGTTTATTCCAGAAAGTATGAGTGAGGATGAGTTCACTCTACAGATAGTTACTGAGTACCTACTGTGTTTCAGACACTCTTTATGGTGAGCTTGAGCTAAATCAGAACAGAACCAACCATCCAAAGATCATGACCCTTATTTTAAGCTTCCTGTTTGGGGAGCATGTGTAGAGATAACCAGTAAACAGCAAGGTAGTTGTAGGGAGCTGAGAATAGAAGCAAGGAGATAGCTAGGAAACCTAGACGTAAGGCAGGTGAGAGATGATGGCGGCTCCATCAGAGAAGTGCCTGTGGACTTAGTGAAGGGTGGTTGAATTCTACACACATTTTGAAAGTATAGGAGAAAGAATAGGAGAGAGAATGAAGACAAAAGAAAGTAGAAATATATTCATTTTAAGAGAACAACAGATTGTATTGATTTACTTTAGATCCTGCGACTCTGAAAAACTATCAGTCTTGTAACTACCTGGCAAATACGCCTCTCCCTTCTTTCCACTCCTCAGATCTAAACACATTGCATTCTCTGCCAAGTCAGATGGCTACCTTCCTTGCCCTGCAAATAAAGGATAGAGTTCCCAGGATCAGTGACCATACGCATTTCCATTTCTAATACTGTGAATCAGGAAGAAGAGAAGTTTACAAAATGTGATTAGTGGGTTAATTTTCTTCATTTCAGTTAAGACTTTCTTTAAATTCAATTTGCATAATGAAAGGCTCTTGTTTCAGATCTTAGGATTTTAAGGGCCATGGTATGAATTGTGGATGTCTGGCTCTGACTCTAGGGTATAATTTAAAATACAGTGACATTGATATCTGTAATTCATAAGCAAGACACCCTTCCTCCCTAAATGAGGTACCTTTGGCAGCCACTTCTTGTCCCCCATCAGTTTCTCTAGTTGTTTCTCGCTGAACCTGGAACATTTGCACATATGTGCCCACTACCACTTCTCCATTTCTGCCCTGCTCGTTGGCCTCTATTGCCAGTTACAAGCCCCGTGCAGGAGGCAACTGACAGCTGCCACCACTGTCCACTCACTCTTGAGAATGCTGCTTGGCTGCCTGGATTCTGTTTGCTGGTGTTCCCAGTACTCTATACTTTCTAGGTAGTAACTGGAGTTGCATTCCCTTGGTCATTACTGCACTGGGGTCTACTGCGTGTGTTTAGTTGGAACGTATAGCTTAGAAGCCCACTTTTGTACCTGGCCCCAGAGAAGTTTCAAGTAAATAAGAACTGCTCAACTTTAATTTACATTCCTTGCTCTTCCTTGACCTCAGATCTCTTCCATGGGGAAGGACTCGGCATAGACACTAAACTGGTCTCTGAGTTCCTTGCTTTTCTCAGACACCCATCCAAAAAACTTTGTTCTTAAAGAAAGCTCCCCCAACCCCTCCTTCCCTACGCATATTGTCTCAGGCTGGTGGCCCACCAGTGTTTTAATCAGGCACAATTTAATTCTGAATCTCTGTTTAGGCTCAGCTGACACTCACAGGACATGTCTAATTTTGTCTTAAGAAAGAAAAAGAACTTTGTTGTAGAAACAGCTTCAGACGATTTGGAAAGCATTCAAGATTCAATAGCTACATTGAGTCCGTTTCACTATATTCTCATCTGGCCACCTTTCTATCACTTTTCTAAATGAAATGGAGCTGTCCCCATTGTTGTGTTGTAGGTCGTCTTAGATTTCTGCACAAACCCAAATGAGATAATAGAGGTTCAAGCATGTGATGACTGGAAATAGACTTGAAATGGTTTCAGTCCTGGCTTTAAAGTTGCTTTTGTTCGAAGGTGACTATTGTTTGTTTTTTAGGAGGCCCATTGACCATATGGCTGCTTTGAAATTCAGATGAAAGGGATGACATTTTCTTGTGGGAGAGCTAAACTAGTTGATAAATTGTCATTGTGCTACCTTTCAGGCTATGGCCCGTAATTAAATGAATGACAAAAAAAGGGCATTAAAGAATTCTGATAGATCTGATTCACCTCTTAAAAGTAAAGAAATTCAAAATTAATGCCCAAAGTCTAAAGCCAAGTGTGCAATATTAAGTATTGTGGAATATTTTGCTCTTGGGGAAAACATTAGCTGATGCCTGGATCTGCAAAATATCACAGCAGGATATGTAACAAAAGCCAGGATTTGCTTTAAGTTTTTATTCATCTTATGTAGATACATATGTATATTTTCTTTCTTACTTACATAGTTTTGATAAGAAACTGATAACCAGTTTGCTTAATGTTGTTTTATCTTCACATATCTGAACCTGACTGCATGGTCGTATTCAAACCATTTCAGAAGAAATGTTTCCTCTTTCCATGAGCAGTGATTTATGTATTTGACTTTGAAGTCAACAATTGTGTAGCACTTAATGCCACATCAAATGCAACATCAAATTACCTTGTATTCATTTAAGTGAATTTGCAGATTTATGGTGGATGGGCACAGATTCAGGAAACTGGGGAAAGGACAGTCACCCCAGATGATGGTACAGAAGGAAAATGAAGTAAATATCTGGCAATTAATTACTTAAAAGGTTAAGGCCTGTTCTTGAAAAGAGTCAGGAGCAATTTATTCCACAATCAATTTGCAAGCACCCAGAGTGTGACAAAGTGACAGGGAACATGGACTGCTCAAAAACAAGCCATGCCCAACAAAACTAATTTCCCTCTTTGACAGAGTGATTGATCTTATAGACTGAAAGATCCACTGGTTACAGCCCAGTTTGATATCTGCATCATTGTCAATGCTATTTCACATGGACTGGTCATTGACAAGCTTGCAGAAAATGGCTTGGGTAGTATCATAATCAGGTAGCTATTGAACTGGTTAAGAAAATGTTCTTAGATTTGGTCAGTAAATAGTGTGAGGACAAGGCTTGGCTTACGTAGACATTCCCCACAAGCTTGACTGTGGATCGGATTTTTTTTTTTCCCCCTAACAAATGGTTTCATGAGAGAATGCAAAGCGTATTCATGGGGATTGAGGCAGAGTCAGCTTTGTTAGAGCCTCTTTGCCAGAATTTCTGAAAAGAAGATTGAGAATGCAAAGTGAATTTGACTAATTAAAATTATGATCTAAATTAATTGGGAAGGAATTGCTGTGTGATTAATGCTAAAAAATATGTGTAAGGAAACAAAAAGAAACTTATTAAATCCCATACATGCAAAATGTGAAAATAAAGCTGCTCTGTGCACATCAGTATCAACTACTTTCCCTGCCTCATATTGCATCCCTACCCTGCAGCCACACTTACTGTTATAAGAGAAAGACATGAGGCATATCTCAGCTGACCTTGGCACCAACGTATATCAACAATGTCATTTGATTACTGAGAAGGGAAAGCCATTTTATATATTCAGTGAAGTGGTGTTATATTTAGGTCTCAGTCACTGAAAGACCATAAAGAGGGAGATCTGGGCTGGGTACGTTGGCTCACGCCTGTAATCCCAGCACTTTGGGAGTGCAAGGCGGTGGGGGGGGGGGCGGGGGGTGGGTGGATCACGAGGTCGGGAGTTCAAGACCAGACTGGCCAACATGGTGAAACCCTGTCTCTACTAAAAATACAAAAATTAGCTCGGTGTGGTGGCAGGTGCCCATAGTCCCAGCTACTTGGGAGGCTGAGGCAGATTTGCTTGAAACTGGGAGGCGGAGGTTGCAGTGAGCCGAGGTCGTGCCACTGCACTCCAGCCTGGGTGACAGAGCAAGACTCTGTCTCGGAAAAAAAAAAAAGAAGGAGATCTGATAATTACACACTAGCCCACATATAGGGGAAGGTGGTTGATCAACTCAAAATTGAGTGAAGGATATACAGGTTTTACAAGAATATGTTTAATTTCCCTTAAATTATTTTTCTAATCAAGGATATCACATAACTAACACATTCCACCTGCTTTTGTTGCCAAATGCAATTTTTTCACTTCTCTTAATAAAGATACCTTCAGAAGACCCCATTTGACTGATATCCTGAGAAAAGTAGTGTTCATTTTTTATATGCCAAGATAAATTTTAAATGGATAATAATGACCAAGGGTGTTTGTTATTAGCAAGTGTTTCGTTCTTGAGAAACTAATAATAATTGGTAATTATATAGTGCTTACTATGTGCTGTGCCACACACTCTCCTAATTGCTTCATGTATATCATGTCATTCTCATAACACTCTATCAGGAAGGGACTATTATTATTTGCATTTTAGAGATGAGAAAACTTAGGTCAAGAGTACTGGTATATGCCTGTCTCTCAACTTTTGATAAAGCCAAGAGAATAAGGATTGTCACTAATTGTCAATAATGCATCATTCCACTTATGTTGTGATATGTAAATAATCGTATTCAGAGGCTGTGTTTGGGCATCCATCTCTCCTCTTCTACAGGACTGCTTTAGATATTTAGAACTACTGTGAGCTGACATTTCCCCTGCACAGGGAAAGTAGTATATAGTTTGGTAGTTTCTGTATCTCAGTAAAATATAATAATTTTAACCTCATAAAATGTATATTACCAGATAAATGAAAAAAATGGAATGATTCATAAGGTCAGGAGTTCGAGACCAGCCTGATCAACTTGGTGAAACCCCCGTCTCTACTAAAAATACAAAAATTAGCAGAGCATGGTGGCAGGTGGATGTAATCCCACAGCTACTCAGGAGCCTGAGGCAGGAGAATCGCTTGAACTTGGAGGTGGAGGTTGCAGTGAGCCGAGATCATGCCACTGTACTCCAGCCTGGGTGAGAGAACTTTGCATAACTTCTGGGGATAATGTAATCTCATATTTATTTATAATAAGAATTTGCTTTAGATGTTTTTCCAGCTGCGATATTGAAATGAAATAGCAAAAGAACCCTGCTAAACATTTTATCTTAAAGATACAATTGATTATAATTGTTTTATTTTAAAAGCCTTATTTAATTAGTAAAAAATAGTAAGGATAATTAATTGTTATTGATTTAAGAATATCTTGAGGAAAATGGGATGACCATGATATTTAAAATAAATAAAGTATTGGTAACCACAAAGTTATCTTTTAATGAAGGATTTTTCAGATGTTAAATAACTTTTTACAATTTATATATGTATCATATATAAATTTAATTTTCTCACTTTATAAGATAATATAGTTTATCAAGTGTATTTTTTTTTAAAAAATGAGCAAAACTTTTATACTACCTTGCAAAAAGAGCCTTAATCATTTAAGAAACAAAATTAAATATAAAGATCATATATGTATCATCAATATTGTGTGCAGTGGTATATAATTATTAATGTTCTTTAGATTTTAATGTTTTATCTCTTACTCTTACAATAGTTTTGCCAGTGGTATCTTATTGGTGACTAACACATTCTAGGTGTCTTCTTAACATGTAACTGCTTTTGGTTTTTCTTTTCCATTTTCTTATTAGGAGGTATCTGCAGGCTCATATGTGGCAGAAGGTAATTTTAAATAATGAGAAGATAGTGGACAGGAGAAATACATGGAAACTTTTGTTGAGGATTACTCATTGCTATTTGAGGAATTGCTTTTATTCCTGGTCCTTCACTTCTTATTTATACAGCGCTTATTCTAGATTTATGCCATTAACAAATATTACTTGACATATTTCTAGAAAAATGTTAAGCAGATATCCACAAAGTGTTTTTAAAAGCATGTTTTAATTATTGATTTTTATTTTCATTAGATATTTATTTGTAATAAAATCTCTAATCTTTTGAAATTTATATTTAAGGATCACAATACCAGCAGTTATGCTAAATCATTGGTATTTTCAACATGGTCAGCCTTGATTTGTCTCTTGAGTACATTAGGTATGACTTAAGCAAAATTAAAATTATTGGCCAATAGAGTTTTTTCACATGAAATAAAATAGTGTTATTCCCAACTTTTCCTGTTTGTACTTTGGAACTGTAGGCTTTGGGGCTTTGGGGACCCACTTAATTTGACATCTTTGGCACACTGAACCAGAACCTGGCTTGGAAAGATACAAAAACTACTTTGGCAAATGATCTGTCAAGTGACCCATGAACAAAAGCGAGATTGGGTTGCCCTTTGAAATAAACCTATTTGAATTTTATTATCTCCACAGCACCTTGTGTCTCTAATCTTGTGAAAGGTTAGTATTCTATCCATCAGAGCAAGATTAGAGTGCTGGTTGATGTCTGCTCTTGATGATAACTGAATGCAGCAGTTGGCGCTGGAAGAGGGAGATTCATTACCATCAGCAGTTCAAAAACAGAGGGGAGAGATGGGCACAGAGGGAGTCACGTTTACAACAGAAGCTACCTATTCCCAGGTCAAGGTATTTAAAAGAGAACAAAACAAAACCAAAAAACAAAAGACTGCTGTTTGGGCAAAGCTTTGCTGAGATTTTTAAATAAGTTCCCTCCCTGAAAGCAGAGCTGTATTAAGGCTATATTTTGCAGAAATTACCAATTTTTAATATTCAGATACCTTCTTGTAAACAATGCTGATTGCTGATGGGTGGCTTTTATGACACACATCAGAGGAAAAAAATAAGAATGATATTATATCACTATATAACATACAACTAATAACAACAAAAAATATAAAACATCCACTAAAGTGTGAAATAATAAGCCTGTGGCATGAATAATTATTTTTGAAAATTACTGAATTCTGAACTGAATGTCCTTTTGGGGAGACTTTTGTGAATGATCCATATAATTCAAAAATTGAAATATAAACAATTTGAAATTTGTAAAATATGTAACTGTATCAAAGTAAGCATATTCTTATCTAGAATTTAATATAATTTTAACATGATGAAAAATGACCTGCATACATTCAACCCTGTACAATTTCAAATAGGTACTGGCAGTCACTAATTGATACTTTATCAAATGATTAAAGATGATTGTTTTTTGTTTCTTGCATTCCAAATGACAATGTTATGAAAGTAAAATAGCCTTCCAAGAACATGAGATTAATGAATTTGACATTTTTCTTTGAGAAGTATCCTGTGAATAACTGACAAAATAAATTTAATCAATGTTAAGCAAATTAGGTTGACATTAAATTTATTCATTTTCATTTAGTTCTTACACAATAATACTTTGTCTCATTATGTAACTACATCAGGATATCTATTGTTTGTTTATTCATCAAAAGTATATTCATTACCTTTGAATGAAGACATCTGTGATGCCACATGAGCCTGATATTTTTTCCTGTTGATAGATTTAAAGACTAAAATGATTTCTAAGACATGGCTTGGGGAGCTGAGCCATCTCTAACTCCTGACATCAATAAGAACCAAGTGTATGGTAAGGAGCAAAGGTGGTAAAAGGTGTCTTAACTTCCTTTACTTTGGTTATTGTTTTCAAATTGTTTGTAGAAACATTTATAGAATTACACAGTTTATCATCTTATTCATCAAATCCCCACCAAAGGCTCTGTAGAGAAAATGAGCAATGACTTTCAATTCATACAGTCATTTAAATCTAAGATTGATTTTTTTTCTTTAGTTTGGTCTGATATCTATAATAATGAACAATGAAATTTTATTGTCTCCTGATTACATCAATTTGGGAAATCCTTTCTCTGCCAAGAAATAGATGGAAATTATCTATATTTTAAAAAGCATTCATTACAATACCAAAACTGCAGATGATCATATTATCAATTAATAATTACCTAACCATCCTGGGGACTATTATTTTATAGACAGCACGCTGTGCTTTAGAGACTACTACTTTCTTCTTTTGTTTATTAAACCCTTTTTACTAATCAGCATTAATTCACTATATTTAGAGTGAAGAGACCCAAATTCTATTCCATGCTACGTTGTTGTTACATTCTGTGATTTTGAGTAAATTACTTGTTTACCTTCTGCCCTCTTTATGCTTTTTTTTTTTTCAGCTTGATTCTTGGATTCTCCATGGTAGAATTATTAGACAAAATACTTCCTATACTTTTAGGTCTTTTAAGTTAAAATAATATTTGTTTTTTTTTCAACTATGAAAATAATTTATAGCCATCTACTTAAATTTTCCATGCCTCGGTTTCCTCAAATGTTAATTTTGGAAAATTAGACAATGTACAGAGGAAAAAAAAACACAAACTATATTCTTCAACCAATTGTAAATCGTTATTATATATTTTGATTTTTCTTAATAGGCATATTCACAAATTATTTACAAAACTGAGATTGTACTGGATATATACTTTCATGTCTTTTGTTTCTATCTTAGCATACTATTACGGTATTATATTTTGTATTAAAAGTGGATTTCATTTGAATCTGGTGAAGCTTATGTTTCAGGTACCTTCCCATTAATAGACCCTTTCGAAGCCTCTGTACCTAATTGTGCCTACTCACAATTGTGTAGAATATTTGTTAAAGGGAGTCCTGTAAATTGCATCAGCATCAATCCTCATAGAATCTGGGTCTATCACTGTAGGCACTAAACCTGGAGGAAGGCTGCCTGGATTTGGAATCCCAGCTCCATCACCTTGGAAGTTACTTAAATTTGCTGTGCCTCTGTTTCCCTAAATGTAAGACGTTGATGATAATAATAACTACCTCATAGGACTGTTGACAACATGAAATCAGTTAATATAAGAATCCCTTGGAATAGTAGCTGACTGATAGTATTTGGTGTTAGCTTTTAAATATTCTTTAAAAATAATTATAAACGTAACAGTATTTTGCAGTGTAGATTTATCCTTCTTGTGAGATTTTCAAATCCTTTTTCATTTTAGCTCATATAAATAATAATGGGATGGATATCTTTGTACACAAATCTTTGACCTTACCTTTGTAATTGAACTATTTCCTTTTATTAGTGTTATTTTCTACTGAAGCATCTTTCATGTCACTATTTATTTAAAAAAGACTTTGCTAATAAATATCAAAGAAGTTAAAACTTATATTTTAAAAAATATAAGTAGTTTAGACTGGGTGCAGTGGCTCACGCCTGTAATCCTAGCACTCTGAGAGACCGAGGTAGGTAGATGGCTTGAGCTCAGGAGTTCCAGATCAGCCTGGGCAACATGGCAAAACACCATCTCTGCAAAAAATACAAAAATTAGCCCAGTGTGGTGGCGTGCACCTGTAGTCCCAGCTACCCAGGAGGCTGAAGTGGGAGGATCCTGGGAGCCCCTGGAGGGGAAGGTTGCAGAGCCGAGATGGTGCCGCTGCACTTCAGCCTGGGTGACAGAGTGAGACCCTGTTTCAAAAAATAATGTATAGATAGATAGATAGATAGATAGATATAAATTTATAAAAATTATACCTATAATATCTATTATAGATATAATTTATTAGTTATACCTATATATATAATACATAAATATATAAGTATATATAAAATAAAAACATAAATTATATACTTATATATTATAGATGTATTTAATTATACAGTATATATAATTTTATATGTTAATATAAATCATATATATTTATTATATGTATATATTATATATAATAATTTATATATACACACACACATAGTTTAAAACAACTCAGAAATGAAGGTAGGATATAGTAGAATATACAAAAATATTACTTTTCAATTTCTTTTTTTAAACTCTCATAATGTTCTACTTACATTTGCTCTTATTTAGACATCTGTGGAACAAGGTAAATTTTTTTATTCTGTGAATTTTCACATTTTTCAGTATTGCCAGTTTTTGATGGACCAGAAAGATATAACCTAAAAACTTAGCTTTCAATTAAGATGTAATATTTTCACAAAATTTTTATATATAATTATGCTTTTACAACTCAGCATTTCTCAATACCTTCAGTTTTTGTTGTCTATGTTATGTGCTTAAATGCACCCTAGGTGGGCCGTGACTGGCATTCCTTTTCCCCTGGTCATTAATTAGCTGGAGGAGTATCAAGCCCTGTTCTTTCCTCTTCCCATGGTATACCCATCCTTCCCGCATCGTGGGACAAGCCCATTGTCCTGTAATTGATGTAAGCAGAGGGAGAGTTGAGAGAGAGTGCTGGGTGCTGATAAATGGGAAAGAAATGGAGGAGAAAGGAAAAGATACCAGCACAGTCTTGTCCTCAGAAGCACTGCTAGTGTTCCTCACATACTGTTGATACTCTTTCATCAATGAAACTCTCTCTTCTCAAGATGCGAATACTGGCTGTCTACAGGGAGTAAAGAGAAGGGAAAGGAAATGAAGGAAAGAATAGAATTGGGAGTTTTCATGATGTATAATATGGCTCCATCCCCATTTCTCCTTCCACTGCCCATGGAACCACAATCATACATCAACTAAAATGAAAGTGTTGGAGAACGAAGAGCTGCAGTGATTCTCAATCTTGGCTGCACACTGGGATCACCTGGGGAGATCAGTATACAAGATATACAAGTATACAAGATATACTGGTACCTGGATCCCACTCCCAGAGAAAATGAATGCAGCCTGGGCATAAAGATTTTTAAAAGTGATTTTAATGGGCACCCTGGGTTGAAAACCACTGAACTGTGTGAAGAAGAAGGAAAAAGTACACTCCATTTGACTGTTCCTCTTTAGTCTCCTTAGAGCCTACACAATCTTTTGTTCCAATAGCCCCAGGTCCTTATCACTGGCTTTTAGCAAAAAACTAGCTTTGGGTCCACATCCCAGATTTGATCCTTGGTGGTTTGTTCTTGGAGTTTTTCCATCTGCTAGTCCAACAAATGTTTAGGTGAAGAAGGAACGGGAGCTGGGGAAAGAACTGGGTTTGTGAACAGGTTAATATATATTGTTAATACTACCATCATGATTTGGAAACCTAATTGCCTCTTACAGTTGAGAAAAAAAAAGCTGGGAATGATTTTAAGTTACTGTTAATACAGTTATATACTTTAGGTGCATAAAGGGTTAAACAGGCATCCCACACTCTGGTTAATGTCATTTCTGAAAGAAAAATGGAAGCAGATTTGCGGGCCAGGCCCAGAGGCCATTTTCTTTAGGCCAGTGCTAGGAAACTGCAATGATGAAAGTCAACTGCGAAAGCATCTCAGCTTTTAATTTTATATTCAGAGCTTAGGGTGAGATAGAAATGCAGTCCATAGGCTCAAAGCAGTTGTTTGCTTTTAGCAGCAACCATCAGCACATTTCAGACTTAATTCATGATTCTGGGAATTAATAGTTTATCTATACCACCATGAGAACATAAATGGCCTAATCAGTCTTTCTTACTTTAAAAGATATCTTTGGGAGAAATAACCTACCAAGAAATAAAACATTTATCAATCTAATGTGTAAAGGATCACTAAGAATAGAAAAAGTTTAACCTTGTGAAATGTGGATTCAAGTCAGCATTTCTACAAACTGCTTTATTGCTTCAAATCTCCCTATATCAACCAATTACATAGTGCTGCTTTTCAGGAAACTTTCATTTTTGCAACTGAATTACACACTTGATTCTGAAAAATCCAGCATTTAGTCTCTTCAGCTGACTGTAGTGGAATTAAATTGAAGTACTTTGGTGCAAGGTATTGATTATTTTTAATGAACATTCATGGTTGTATACTGATGACTTTTCATTAAAAATTTCTTCATGGAAAAGTTTATTAAATTAGACACATTGGAAAAACATAAACTGGTGATGTACAATTGTCCTGAATAATGCATTAAAATACATTATTATATTCTTGATTTACTTGACTTACTGAATAGGAGTATTGCCCTAGAACTCTTGTTTCTACTTATATATAATTTAAGTAAATTTAATTTATAATGTTTAAGAGTTTCCAATACACATTGAGAGTAATATAATACAAAGTGATCCTTGGATTAAATATTGTGAACATTTTTGAATTATGTGTTACAGTATTTTTAACAGCCAATATACTTATGATTTTCTGAAAATAATTCTCCTTGTTTTGTGATGAACATTATATTTTGTTGCAGGGCCTTTGATAGTTTTTGTAAGATGTTAAAAGATAGTTTAAATTTCTATTTTTATTAATTGTCATGAATGGAAAGTTAAAAAAAAAAGGAAATTGTAATAACAATAGTTTTTCTTAACCCAGTATCAAAGTAGGGTTTTTTTTTTTTATTCTTCTTTTTCATCTCTATACTCTTTTAAATGTCAGAGTTACTGTGAGATTTTTTTAAGTCTCCTGGGACTCATTAGACTACAGCCTTAGAAAAATTTAGGAGTGTCTCACTTTAAAATCACTAAATTCACCTGAATCCTCCAAATCATTTACATGATTGAGGGAGTTACTTTTAGATTTTAGCTACCGTGCAAAGGAATATAAAGAGATGAGTGCATTGTGGAGTTTTCAGAGCACATTTTAACATATGAAAATACTGAAAGAAAAGGAACTTTTATTCTACTGTTTATGAGAGAGTTGGCAGACTAATAATTAAACTGTCTTCCTGACTACAAGAATTTAAAGGCATGATATGTTTTGTTGAATTAATTTATCTTTGAATGTCTCACTTAAGATTTTGACCTGCCATGCTAAGGATTGGCAAAATTTTTTGGTAAAGGACTAGATATTAAATACTTTTGTCATTTTATACCACATAAAGTCTCTGTGATATATCATCTTTTGTTGTTGGTTTTTTTCTTTGTATTCAAACAGAAAAATGTGAAAACCATTCTTAGCTCACAGGACTTAAAATAGGTTGCTGACTAGAAGCAACCCCTTCTTGAAACTGTTACGGTATTTCGTAAAGTATGTTCTCTGAAACACTTGTTTTCAAGCTATTTAATAATGTTATAGGGATGAGGGTCCTGAAGAGGAAATAGGCCTGGAAAATACTCATATAGGAAAGGTAAGCAGATTGTCTGCTGGGGACGTTCAGTACTAGAAGCATTGTCCTGGGTGCTGAACCTCTCCAGGGGCCTGGGATGCACAGTTCAGGCGCACAGTCTCTTCCTGGGCTGGTCAAATGTACCTCGAGAAGTACAAATTTAGGACATTGGGATTTTTAAGTGTTGCAATTATAATCATTTGCAACCACAGTACTCAACTGTAAATAACATCCTTTATTAGAACTCCATTTTGGAAGTGGAAACATATCTTTTCTGTATTATATTTGGACAGTCACATCTCACAGTAGATGTACTATGTGATCAGCTTTTTTTGTTCTTCCTCAGTTTCTCTAACTTGTCTTTCCATTGAGATTGCTGAACAAAGTCAGGGCCCCCCTGTCTGTGAGTCTCCTTGGTTGAAACAAATAACATTAATAGCTCTTATTTTAAGGACACTCATTTCCTTAAAGGATAACTATTATAGAGAATTTTAACAAAATGTTAAGACTTACAACTGAATTATATATTTAAGCATATTATCTAACATGAAAATATGATTTCTATGTAATTTGTCAGGGATATGTGAATGTAGTCACGTATATGTATAATTGTTATATGTATATACATATATACATAATATGTATACACATGATATACATAAAGTACATAATATTTTGCATAAAATACATAATATGATATACATAAAATGATTTACACAATATTGTCTGTATATATAAATATACACATTTCATATATACATGTATGTATATACATATTGTGAATTAATTATGATTTACACAATATTTTCTATGTGTACAAATATCATAAAATGAGGCACCATTTTGGCCAAACATTTTAACTATCCTTTTGTAAGCCAGTCACTGTTCTATACACTGTAGTGATAATCCCAGGTTCTGTGTTTGATTTTCTTCTAGCAGAAGCCCCCGCTTTTAGGAAAATATACCAATCCCAGAGGTTTGAGCATGCTCTCCAGGCTCGGTTATCTGCATTAACTACTTAATATTAAGGGGACAATAATCACACATGAAAATTATTATTATTATTTTATTACACTTTACATTCTGAGGTACATGTGCAGAATATGCACGTTTGTTACATAGGTATACATGTACCATGGTGGTTTCCTGCACCCATCAACCCATCACCTACATTAGGTATTTCTCCTAATGCTATCCCTCCCCTAGACCCCCACCCCCCAACAAGCCCCAGTGTGTGATGTTCCTCTCCCTGTGTCCATGTGTTCTCATTGTACAACTCCCACTTATGAGTGTGAACATGCAGTGTTTGGTTTTCTGCTCTTGTGTTAGTTTGCTGAGAATGATGGTTTCCAGCTTCATTCATGTCCTGCAAAGAACATGAACTCATCCTTTTTTATGGATCCATAGTATTCCATGGTGTATAAGTGCCACATTTTCTTTATTATTATTATTATTATTATTATTTTATTATTATTATTATTATTTTCTTTGAGATGGAGTCTCGCTCTGTCACCCAGGCTGGAGTGCAGTGGCACGACCTTGGCTGCCTGCAACCTCTGCCTCCTGGGTTCAAGCAATTCTCTTGCTTCAGCCTCCTGAGGAGCCAGGACTATGGGTGCCTGCCACTATGCCTGGCTAATTTTTTGTATTTTTAGTAGAGACAGGGTTTCACCGTGTTAGCCAGGACGGTCTCGATCTCCTGGCCTCATGATCCGCCTGCCATGGCCTTTCAAAGTGCTGGGATTACAGGCATGAGCCACCATGCCTGGCCGAAAATTACTTTTATAAATAATTTAGGTATGACTTTAGAATGCATTTTGCAATTTATATTATATAAATATGAATTTATCCACTGTCCTAAGAGTTTATAATGCTTCCCATTAATTATTCATATCATGGTCTGAAAATTTGACTTAGGATAGACTACAAAGCCATCCTGCTGTCTTGTTCTTTCCTAGAACTGTTTCTTGTCTATCATCGTTTTGGATCTCTGGGTTGCATTCTGGTTCTATTGATCTAGGGCAACTCACTTAACATTTTGAGCCTCAGCTTTCCTATCTGCAAACTAGATAAACTAATAACTGATTGCCTTGCAAGTAAGTAAAGCCTGTAATAAAATATCTGATGCCCGTTAGAAGTCAGGCAACATCTTAGGTACTATCTTTACTTTTACTTGAAATTAGCATCATTCACTGTTTCAAATCCACTTTTGTCTCCAGTTAAAGTTTGGTATCTTTACTTTTCTCCTAAAATATGACGAAGACAAATGGAAATGATGAAGATGTTCTATTGCCATATTACTGGCATTTTTAATTAGTTTGTGTATATGGAGGGGAGGGACATTTACTTGAGGGTTAAAAATTTGGTTCTAATAACCTCTCAAACAGGAAAGATGTGGATTCCTACTATGAGATCACTTTGAAATTACATAAGCTTTTGTTAAGTCCTAGGAATAATTAGTTGAGTAAATAATAATACTTATAATAAACTTAATTTATAAAAACATACACCTACACACATTCAGAGCAAAGGAAAGTGTGAATTATGAGATGCAGAAGTGGCAAATCCCAAAGGAATTATTGCTTAAAGCAATATTGTCTTTTAATAATCATAGATTTTTATTTCTCCCTTTTAAAATAAACTGTAATTTAAAAAAATCTTTATATAATTTCAACCTCAAAATCTAAAAAATACATTCAAAGAATCTGCTTTTTACACCAAAAAATGCAAGTGATGTTTAAGAAAAAAATACTGAGACAATGTAATATCTATTGGAAATAGTTCTTTTCCTTTTTCCCTTATATAATTGCTTTTTAAAAAAACTGTATGAGTGAGGAAATAAAGGATGCCATAGTCTTGCATATTAAAAACAATACTTGAGCAAAGCCTCAATGTGAGTTTATTCAATACAGCAGATGACTTATTGAGTGGAAGAAGGCTTTATGTGTGAGACTGCAATGTGTGAGACTCAAAAGTGGTTTGGGAATTAACTCTAATGTAGCATGCTGGGCATTGCTTAAATGTAGTATGTGAGTGAATGTGAGTGCAATCAGCTTGGTGAGATAATGCACTATGAAGTCATGTCCCAGCAGGGACAGAACAGCAGAAGCAATCATTAAGCCACGCAAAGAATGGCTCAGGACAGGCAGAGTTTGGAGAGAAAGTCAAGCTCTGGCAGAGCGATATTGATAGCCAACTTTTTTTTTTTTAAACAAAGGCACAATATTATATGCGTAGGTACACATGAACTTGGAGCATGGGGGGTTATACATGAATATTTATATGTGTATAAATGTATAAGAATTTGCAAGATGACAAGAGGGCAAATCAGTTATGTCCTGTTCTAAGATGTGGTTTGTGGGATCTTTCTTTCTCTGAGGCGGGCCCACAAAATCATCACTATCAAAGAGAAGTCCAGAACCAAAGGAGTCAGGATGTATTTCACTGGATGGTCATGTTCATCCATCGATCTATTCATTCATTCACTATTCACCACTTTTTAAGGCACTATCATGTAACAGGCACCATACATGGAAATGGGAGTATTGACTACCGAGAATCTTACTGTGAATACAATCTGTATTTCAATTCCTTCCATTTAAGACACAGCACCTCAAATTTGTATTACAAACAAATCATGGGGTTGATGAGATGTGGTTTAGAAATAGGCTGGCGTTTTCTCTGAATATTTTTAATGTTCTATTAGTAGACCTTGGAATCTATCAGTAGAAGGGTGGCTCTCAGCAGGTGGGGGTAAGGAAGGGAGTGAGAGTGGTCTTGTCCCCAAGAGGACATTTGATAATGTTTGATGACATTTTGGTTGTGACTACTCAGAGAAGGATGTGCCACTGGCATCTAAAAGGTAGAGGCCAGGCATACTACTTAATAATTTACAATATACAGCACAGTGCTCCCCAAACCCCTGCCCAAAGAAAGAATTATCCAGCTCAAAATGAGCACAGTGCTGAAGTTGACACCTGAGATAGACTAGGGTCATCTACTGCTCAATAGCACACAAGCTGCAGCTTGCAAAGGACACCGCCTCATGTGGCAAGGACAGACGTCCTGAGCAATGTCCATCTTTACTCTACTTACTTTCAAGGTCCCAGCCTCTGGGAAGTGGGAAGAGATAGGCCATTTGGGACCATGTTTTCCCTCCCTCACAGTCTAATGCAGAAGAGGATAAATGGCACTGTGGGTCTCCCTTCATTAACGCTCCTCATTAACTCAGCATTTTCCTGCAGATTATATCAGGCTGTTACATAAGCAAGATGCCTTTTGAAAGGAGAAATGATCTCAAAGATATATCTGAAAGCTGACACATGTGTGTGGAATGAGAAAGACTACTCCTCATTTCACCTTGAGAAAGGCAGGAGGGAAGACAGGCTGGTAAGTTTATTGAGTGTCTATGGATCATAACCCTTATAGGATGTCAGCTTTCATCTTTTATTTTTTATTTTATTATTTTCTTTTTTTTTTTTTTTTTTTGAGATGGATCTTGCTCTGTCCCCCAGGCTGAAGTGCAGCAGTAGGATCTCAGCTCATTGCAACCTCCGCTTCCTGGGTTCAAGTGATTCTCCTGCCTCAGCCTCCTGAGTAGCTGGGACTACAGGTGCCCACCACCATGCCTGGCTAATTTTGTATTTTTAGTAGAGACGGGGTTTCACCAGTTTGTCCAGGCTGGTCTCGAACTCCTGACCTCAGGTGATCTGCCCACCTCGGCCTCCCAAAGTGCTGAGATTACAGGCATGAGCCACTGCACCCGGCCGGATGTCAGCTTTCAGAACCAGTTTATCCTCCATGTCAGCCCCTCCTATGGAGCATTCCTTACCCACAGCTTGGCTGGGCTGACCAAACTGATTTATCATACTGTTGTTGAGGGAGAGTAGAAACAAAGAGATTAGCAGATAACTACACAAACATACACAATTGCATACACATGTGTGTATTTCTGGGTTTAAGGAAGGAAACAGCATACCTGCTTCCCACAGTAGGACAAGTGCTATAATCTCGACTGACTAATGACCAAAGCTTTTCACTCCTTGGGTTCCGAAAGGATATAGATTCACACCACCATGCTGTAACATTCATTTTAAGCAAGTTTTTAATAGGAAATGTCTCTGAGAGCATGAAAAAAAATAGGAAAAGGATGTTATATAGTACTTAATCCAATCCTGTACCTAATCCAGCACAGAACATGTTTATCTATGTAGTGTTAACAAGACATTTCTGAGTTGAATGGGAAAAGCTTTTGCTGTGTGATGTAGACTGTAGAGAGCCTCTTGTCTGCCTTTTTCCTTTTTCTGTGCTTCCCCTTGTCCCGGTGTGCCATCTTACCTTTCAGTCCACTTATTTGGAGGCTTCATTTGGAGCCTTTCTCAGTTATCCTTAGGGCACCTCTTGGCTCCTTGGGGTTGGTTTCTGCCCCTTAAGAGGTCTCTCCAAGTGATCAGGCCACATCACACAGACCTTCTTTTTGCTTTTGCAACAGTGGTGGTTTTTATCTACAAGACTGTTCTCCCACTTGAGACAATCTGCCCTGAAGCAAACAGATGTTTGCATTGAGATCTCCCCTCTAGATGAATAAAATCTTCCCAGAGGCTAATGCTGGCTAGGAAAGGTTTTTTGTGCACCTATGAAGCGTAACTGAGCCCTGAGCAACCAACTTTGATGTATATTTTGTGATTGAGGAAGAAGAAAAAATCAAATAGCATTTCTTTCTGCCAAACTGTTTTTTGCAGATAAAAATTTTTGTTGACTGAAGACTTTATCCAATGTGTGCTTTGTCCTCTTCCATTAAAAAGAGTTCAGTTGAGATTGCTTTTTCTTATATTGTCCTTGAATTTTGTTCTCTCTGATGTTGCTTGCACATGATACTTCATCAGTAAAATGGATCACATAACTGTCTTCTAAATCTCCATCTTGTTTGGTTTGCTGAGAAACAATTTTCATCCAAGCATAAAGTAATTAGTTCAAAGAGTCAGATTTCAAAAGGTGGATGTCTACAGTCATGGTGAAAATGAAATGAGTACCCTTATTTTGGGAGGACATTAGCTTTGCCTCAGTACCTTGGATCTCCATTATTCATAAGATCTTAGATCAATGTGCCTTGAGGTAGCAACATTTGTCATAATTGGCTGATACATTAGCGTCTTTCAATACCAAATATTAACTTTGACTATGAGATCAGTAAACCATGTAATGATTTTTAACAAGAAATAATAATAACTTGACTTTGAGGATCAGTGAAGTTAATAGAAAACTTTTGAGACAATGGCATACTCTTAGACAACAATGTAAGCTTGGAATCTAAGAAAATGTTATTTGAGCCGTATTTATTGAAATGTGATAACTTGGTTTCTATACTCAATCACAAATACTAATTTAAACTTGGGAAAAACAAACCACAAGACATAGTGAGTGGGCAGTCTTGTTTGAACCATTCACTTTCAAAGTGGGCATAGCTCAATATTCAGAGTCCTCATATCAGCAGAAGAAAAAATAAAAAAAAACTGAAGGAGGTGTTACCCTCAGTAAAAGAGAAAATGATATTTTTATTCCTAAGACAAACATTTATTTCTCAAGACTTTGGAAAGCAATGAGTATCAGAGAATTTTTTTTTTTCTCTTTCTCTTTTTTTTAAAGCTCTTTGCAAATCCAGACCACACTATTGATTACTATTCATTGCTGAAGGCAGTATTCTGTATTCAATAAATTAAGCTTTAATTCCTAAGTCCAACAAAATAATTGACCTCAAAAAGAAGATAAATGAATAGGCTGCAGAGCTCATGATTAGAATCCACTTTCCAGTCTCATTGTATTAGTATTTTTCAATTCAGTGATTTTCCCATTCTTTTTTATCTTCTTTCACAATCTGTTACGCCTTCCACCCTGTTCCTGTATCAGCAAGGCCAAGCTACTTTCATTCTTGGTTTCCAGATCGGAAGGTTTAACTTATGATATTCTCATACTTTTATATTAATAATTTAATATAGTTTCCATTTTAGGACAAACTAGATAACTAGCATTTTTGAAAAAAGTATGAAATTCTCTTGATTTCCTAAAATGATAAGCAATATCAGCATACAGCATATATAAATATTTTGATAAATTTATGCTTCTCAATTTTGCAAATTTCGCCCTATCTGCTTCAATAGTCATTTTCTTTACCGAATCCCTAAAGATTCAGAGAGATTTAATAATATTCAACTTTATTTTACATTTAGTAAAAATAAAAACCATTTGGTGACCTGGACAAAATTACACAGTATTTGTAATCCCACAGTTTTTGCTGCCACTGTAGCAACAGAATGTCTATTTAAAAATATATATATATTTCATAGAA